>NT_167244.2:0-202213 GCF_000001405.40 Homo sapiens | reverse complement strand
GGCCAACACAGTGAAACCCTGTCTCTACTAAAAATACAAAAATTAGCTGAGCGTGGTGGCGCACACCTGTAGTCCCAGCTACTCAGGAGCCTGAGGCAGGAGGATCACTTGAACCCGGGAGGCGGAGGTTGCAGTGAGTCGAGATTGTGCCACTGCCCTCCAGCCTGGCAACAGAGTGAGACTCTGTCTCCCGAAAAAAAAAAAAGAAAAAGAAAATGAAAAATGGAAGCCACAAATTGCAGGAAACATTTGCAAAATACATACCTGAGAAAGGACTCATCCTAAATATATAAAGCACTCTTGTAAATCAACAAGAAAAAGACAAATAATTTTTTTTTAATGACAAAAGACTTGATCAGGAACTTCCCTAAAGACTACATTCAAATAGTACACATATGAGGCCAGGGACAGTGGCTCACGCTGTAATGCCACCAGCACTTCAGGAGGTGGGAGGATTACTTGAGCCCAGGAGTTCGAGACCAGCCTGGGCAACATAGTAAGACTCCCCCTGCCCCACCATCTCTACAAAAAAAAAAAAAAAAAATTAGCCAGGCATGGTGGCGTGTGCCTGTAGTCTGAGCTATTCAGGAGGCTGAGGTAGGAGGATCCTGTGAGCCTGGGAAGTTGAGGCTGCAGTGGGTCATGATTGCATAACTGCACTCCAGCAAAAGAAAATTTGAAAATGTGCTCAGTATCATTAATTAGCAGGGAAATATAAATTAAAACCACAATGAGATACCACTACAAATCCACCTGAACAGCTAAAATATTTTAAAACACATATGCTGTACCAAGTGTTGGTGTAATATGTGCGGCAACTAGAATTCTCATGCATTGCTGCTAGAAGTGTTAATTAGCACATTCACTATGGAACATTTTTTGGCATTATCTAAAAAACTAAACATATGCCTACTAGCAATTCCACTCCTAGAAATGAGGGCATTTGTCCATGAACAGACATATACCACCAGAACGTTTAGGGCAGCTTTATTCATAACAGACAACAATTTAAAACCCCAATAAGTGCTCATGATAGGAGTCTCTTCATATGAAGTTCAAGAACAGGCAGAATTAATCAATGCTTCTAGAAATTTGGAATAGTGATTTTTTCTAAGTAACCTCTGGGAGTGGATACTGATGGAAAGAGACATGAGACAGCCTTCCTGGATGCTGAAAATATTTTTCCTCTTGATCTGGATGGTGGGTACACACATGTAACAATTCATTAGCTTATACACTGAAGGCTTGTTCCCTTTATGTATATTTTACCTCAATAAATTAACAATATGAAACAGTTTATCATTTAATGTCAATTAAATGCTCTACAGCATAAACTCTAAAAATGTTTGATATAGTTTGGATATTTGTCCCCACTCAAATTGGATATTTGTCTCACATTGAGATGTAATCCCCAATATTGGAGGTGGGGTCCGGTGGGGCCTCCTTGCTCCATTCTCGCTAGGCGATATGCCTGCTCCCCCTTTGTTTTCCGCC
Source organism: Homo sapiens (assembly GCF_000001405.40). Taxonomy (NCBI): domain Eukaryota; kingdom Metazoa; phylum Chordata; class Mammalia; order Primates; family Hominidae; genus Homo; species Homo sapiens. The sequence continues at coordinate 200,719 of NT_167244.2, read as the reverse complement.
ATGATTCGAAGTTTCCTAGGCCAGGTGCAGTGGCTCACACCTGTAATCCCAGCACTTTGGGAGGCCGAGGCAGGTGGATCACTTGAGGTCAGGAGTTCAAGACCAGCCTGATCAACATGGTGAAACCAGTCTCTACTAAAAATATACAAAATTGGACAAGCGCGGTGGTGCACGCCTGTAATCCCAGCTACTTGGAGGCTGAGACAGGAGAACTGCTTGAACCCGGGAGGCGGAGCTTGCAGTGAGCCAAGACAGCACTATTGCACTCCAGCCTGGGCAACAAGAGAGAAACTCCGTCTGAAAAAAAACAAAACAAAACAAAAAACCCGGAAGTTTCCCAAGGCCTCTGCAGAAGCAGCTGCCACTGTGCTTCCTGTACAGCCTGCAGAATCATGAGCCAATTAAAACTCTTTTCTTATAAATTACCCAGTCTCAGGTATTTCTCTTTTTTTGTTTTGTTTTGTTTTGAGATGGAGTCTCTCTCCGTGTTGCCAAGGCTGGAGTACAGTGACACAATCTTGGCTCACGGCAACTTCCACCTCCCAGGTTCAAGCGATTCTCCTGCCTCAGCTTCCCAAGTAGCTAGGATTACAGGCACACGCCACCACACACAGCTAATTTTTTTATATTTTTAGTAGAGACAGCGTTTCACTATGTTGGCCAGGCTGGTCTCAAACTCCTGACCTCAAGTGATCCGCAAGCCTCAGCCTCCCAAAGTACTGGGATTACAGGTGTGAGCCACTGCACCCGGCCCTCAGGTATTTCTTTACAGCAGTGCCGGCACAGCCTAATACAATGTTAAAAAGGGAAAAATTGTTGTGACCTGGGAAGACGAGAAAAGTTTTATGAGAGGCTGATCTGGAGGGAGTGGTCACCTGCAAGGAAAGCGGAGGGATCCGCTTATTCAAGGAGTTTAGCCCAGAAAGGGAAGAGAAATGGTTCCAGAGCTCACAAAAGCATTGAAATCTTCTTCAGGCCCAACATCTCTAGGTCCTTCAATTATTTCTCCCTTGCAGTTTGTGATGCCATTCCCACCCACTGTGTTATTCTTTCTCATAGCATCCTGTCTCTTCCATCATAGAAGTTGTCACAATTAGTAACCACATATTGATTTGATTAATAACTGAATGCAACTCCTTATTCTGATTATTTCATACTGCATAACAAACTGCCCCAACAGGTAGGGCTCACTGGGATGATTTTTCTGTAACACCTGGCATTAACTGGCAACTCAGAATGTATCCATTTGGTAGTTGGGCTGCTCTTCACTGAAAATCCTCATGCTTTTCTCAGGGAATGGCTGGAAGGATGGCCTCAATGAGCTCACTCCCCCCTTATGGAGTCCCGTAGTAGAGTAGGTGGACATCACTATGGACTGAGTTGTGTCCACTCTGCCCACCACATACACACAGCTCCCAACTCATGTTTTGGAATTTTAACCCCCAATGTGACTATATTTGAAGATAATTTTTTTTTTTTGATAGAGTTTTGCTCTGCTGCCCAGGCTGGAGTGCAGTGCCTCAATCTTGGCTCACTGCAACCTCTGCCTCCTGAGTTCAAGTGATTCTCCTGTCTCAGCCTCCTGAGTAGCTGGGATTACAGGTGTGCACCACCATGCCCAGCTGATTTTTGTATTTTTAGTAGAGACAGGCTTTTGCCATATTGGCCAGGCTGGTCTTGAACTCCCAGCCCCAAGTGATACACCTGCCTCGGCCTCCCAAATTGCTGGAATTACAGGCGTGAGCCACCGCGACTGCCTGGAGATAGGATCTTTATAGGGATGACAATTAAGGATAAATGATGTCATAAGAGTGAGGCCCTAAGCTGATAATACTGGTGTCCTTATAAGAAGAAGAAGAGACATCAGAGGTGCATGCACACAGAGAAAAGGTCATGTGAGGACATAGTCAGAAGGCGGCTGCCTGCGAGCCAAGGAGAGAGACCTCAGGAGAAACCAACCCTGCAGACTTTGATCTTGGACTTCCAGTATCCAGAAAATAAAATGTGAGCAAATAAATTCCCGTTTTTTAAGCCATCTAGTATTTTGTATGCCAGCCTGAGGAGACTAATAAAGACATATCTATGGTGTCTCAGGACTCAGAGACACAAGACAGGGGCTGTCAGCCCTCTTACAGCCCTGGCCTGGCACTGGTATAGAATCACTTCTGCCATACAGTGTTAGTCACAGTACTCATAGGCCAGCCCACCAGATTCAAGGGGCTGGAGGAGTGGGCTGCACCCTGTTTTCTGTTGTTGTTGTTGTTTGTTTGTTTGTTTTTTGAGACAGAGTTTCACTCTTGTTGCCCAGGCTGGAGTGCAATGGTGTGATCTTGGCTCACTGCAACCTCTACCTCCCAGGTTCAAGTGATTCTCCTGCCTCAGCCTCCCAAGTAACTGGGATTACAGGCATGCGCCACCATGCCCAGCTAATTTTGTATTTTTAGTAGAGACAGGGTTTCTCCATGTTGCTTAGGCTAGTTTTGAACTCCTGACCTCAGGTGATCTGCCTGCTTTGGCTTCCCAAAGTGCTGGGATTACAGGTGCGAGCCACCGCACCCGGCCTTTTTTTTTTTTAAGATGAGGATCTCACTCTGTCGCCCAGGTTGGAGTGCAGTGGCATGATCATAGCTCACTGCAGCCTCAAACTCCTGGGCTCAGGCAATCCTCCCACCTTAGCCTCCCAAGTAGCTGGAACTACAGGCATGTGCCATGATGCCCAGCTTACATATCTTGGTGATCCAATGTCATGTGCATATGAGAGGTCTCTAAGATAGTGACTATCTTGGAGACAGCTACCATCTCGGCCTCCATCCAGCCCCCAGTGGCCTGTCAGCTCCATAAGGGCAGGAATCTTGTCTAGTGTGTTTACCAGGCATGGTCTGCTCATATTCAAAATGCCTGTGTTAAAATCAAGGAAATCCTCAACCCCTTGCTGTTTGAAAGAAGGGGTCAGATTAGCTTTTCCTCCCACTGTCTTCAAAGATTTTATCCCCAGGAAATAGAATATAGCTAAATGTTGGGAAGCACATAACCAATTCAAAAATAAATTATATTTAGATGACTAATGACAATTACATTTTTCAGTGGGTCTTGATGCATAGACCAGTGAGCATTATCTCAGTCCCCTTGCCATAGTAATTGGTTCAGGAATAGGTAGTAAAACCAAACCTAAGCCAACTGGCACATGAATTTCTCTGTCCACAGGGATTAGTCCAATCAATAAGAGCAAAACACAGGGCTTTGCTGGCTGGGAAAGACAAGTCATTGATGCTGTGACTGCAGAAATTTTTTAAAATTTATTTTGACATAATTGTAGATTCACATACAGTTATAGGATGTAATTAAGATTCAGTGGCTGGGTGCAGTGGCTCGCTCCTATAAGCCTTGCACTTTGGGAGGCAGAGGAGGGAAGATTGCTTGAGGCCAGGAGTTCAAGATCAGCCTGACCAACATGGCAAAACCCTGTCTCTACTAAAAATACAAAAATTACCTAGCCATGGTGGCACATGCCTGTAATCCCAGCTACTTGGGAGGCTGAGGCATGAGAATTGCTTGAACCCAGGAGGCGGAGGTTACAGTGAGCCAAGATCATGCCACTGCACTCCAGCCTGGGCGACAGAGCAAGACTCTGTCTCCAAAAGAATAAAATAAAATAAAAATAAAGATCCAGCATACCCTTCACTCAGTTTCTCCCAATGGTAACATCTTGCATAAATATAGTACAATATCACACCAGGAAATTATTTTTGATAAAATCCACCAATCTTACTCAGATTTCACCATTTTTACATACACTCATCTGTTTGTGTGTGTTTAGTTCTATACAATTTTATTGCATGTGTAAATATCACATAGGAACAACATTACAGTCAAGATACAAAACTGTTCCATCACAAGGATCCCTCAGGGTACCCTTTTATAGCCACAGACACCTCCTTCCCTTCTCTCTCCCTAATGCCTAGCAACTACTCATCTGCTCTCTATCTCTATAATTTTATCATTTCGAGAATGTTGTGGGCTGGCCACAGCGGCTCACTCCTGTAATTCCAGCACTTTGGGAAGTCGAGGTAGGTGGATCATTTGAGGTCAAGAGTTGGAGACTAGCCTGGCCAATATGGTGAAAACCCGTGTTTACTAAAAATACAAAAAAAAAAAAATAGCTGGGCATGGTGGTACATGCCTTAATCCTAGCTACTCCGGAGGCTGACACAGGAGAATCACTTGAACCCGGAAGGCAGAGGCTGCAGTGAGCCGAGATTGTCCCACTGCACTCCAGCCTGAGTAACACAGTGGGACTCTTTCCCAAAAATAAATAAATAAATAAATAAATAAATAAATAAATAAATAAATGTTATTAATGGAATCATACAAATCACAACCTGAGATTGACTTTTCTCACTCAGCATAATTTCCTTGAGATCTATCCAAGTTGCTGCCTATCTCAGTAGTTCATTCATTTTTATCTCTGGGTAGTATTTCATAATATGGATGTGCCACTGTTTAACTCTTCACCATTCGAGGACATTTGAATTATTTCTAGGCTTGGCTATTACGAACAATGTTTTGTGCAGATTCTTGGGTGAACAAACATTTTTATTTCTCTGAGATAAATGCCCAGTGACATGCAAATTTGAGACTCTAAACTGCAGCAGCTGTTTGGCTACCTCATCAGAGAGATTCCACCCTGATGACCCAATATAAAGTAATAACCATCACTCTTCATCTTCCATATTCTGATTCATTCCACTTTATGGCATGTTTCATACCATGTGTTTATTGCTTGGTTTGCTTATCATCCAACTTTCCCTCTAGAAAGTAATTCCATGACCCCAGCAACCTTGTCTGTTTTGTTCCACACAGTGTCCTGGAATCTAGAAGACTGGCACATAGTTGACACTCAACAAACATTTGTTGAATAAATTAATGAGTAAATAAATCTCAGACACCTTTCCCTATTAGATTATTTCTTCTTTTTCTTCTTCTCCTTCTTCTTCCTCTTCTTCTTCTTCTTCTTCCTCCTTCTTCTTCTTCTTCTTCCTCCTCCTCCTCCTCCTCTTCCTCTTCTTCTTCCTCCTCCTCCTTCTTCTTTGTTTTTGTTTTTGGAAACTGCATAGCATTTCATTGTACACCTGCATAATATTTTCATTAACTTATCCCCTGTTGGAGCATATTGACGTTGGTCCCAGTATTTTACAAATCCAAACAATGCTGTAATGGCAATCCTTGTATAATCAAACATCTCTGTCCAGATGGGAGAGAAGCAGAGTAGAAGGTTCTACGAGTGAGTGCATTTAAATTTTTTTAGTGATTGTCAAATTGTTTTCTTTTACTTTTTTTTTTTTTTAATCGAGATGGAGTTTTGCTCTTGTCACCCAGGATGGAGTCCAATGGCGTGACCTCGGCTCACCGCAACATCTGCCTCCCGGGTTCAAGCTATTCTCCTGCCTCAGCCTCCTGAGTAGCTGGGATTACAGGCATGCGCCAACACGCCCAGCTAATTTTGTATTTTTAATAGAGACAGAGTTTCTCCGTGTTGGTCAGGCTGGCCTCGAACTCCTGACCTCAGGTGAGCCACCCGCCTCAGCTCCCAAAAGTGTTGGGATTACAGGCGTGAGCCACCGCGCCCAGCCCAATTGTCAAATTGCTTTCAATGGTGTTCTCCCAATTTACATTCTCACAGTGTACTGGAATTCCTCACATTCTCATTAATACTGAATACTGTCAAAGTTTTAAATCTTTGCTAATCTCATAAATTAAAATTAACATCACCTCTTTTCACATGTTTATTGACCATTTGTTCTTTTTCTCTGTACCATCTGTTCATGACCTTTGCTCATTTTTCTTCTCTCTTTTTTTGCTTTTATTTGTGCAAATATTTTGTCTCAAGGAAATTCATCCTTTGTTTAATTTGCTAAAAACATCTTTCCCCAATTTTCCTTTATCATTCAGCTGTTTAGAAAATTTTTTTATAAGAAGACATCTAATTTTGAATTCTGTATAACCAAATTTATCCATTTGTGACTTCTGTGGGGTCATGTTTAGAAAGATCTTCCAGATGACAAGTGCCTTAAAAAAAATCAATCAGTTTTCTTTTTCCTGGAATTTTTATGGATTAATTTTCTTAAAAAAATTTCATTGATCAATAATATAGTTCAGTATAAGAAGTGAGATGAGATCTTTTTTCTCCCAAGTAGCTAGCCAGTTATTCCACAATCATTTATTGAATGTATAGCACCAACCTGCAATTTCTCCTGTATCTTGTACTAAATTCTTTTTTTTTTTTTTTTTTTTTTTTTTGGAAATGGGGTCTGGCTCTGTCACCCAGGCTGGAGTGCAGTGGTGCAATCTCGGCTCACTGCAACCTCTGCCTCCTGGGATCAAGGGATCCTCCCACCTTAGCCTCCCCAGTAGCTGGGACCACAGGTGCACGCCGCAACACCCAGCTAATTTTTTGTATTTTTGGTAAAGACTGGGTTTCACCATGTTGCCCAGGCTGGTCTCAAACTCCTAAACTCAAGCCGTGGCCTCCCGAAGTGCTGGGATTACCCTGCATAAGCCACCGCGCCCGGACCTTATATTAATGTTAAATTCTTATTGATATTTTGTCTTTTTCTCCATTTCCCATTCTGTCTCATCTAATACGTTGGCTTCTTAAGTACTGTATTCTTGTATTTATTATGATAATTTTTTATTTTTCCAGACTAAGGTTAGTATCAGTTGGTAAAAGACAGATAAGAGAGAAGGAGATAGAAGAAGCAGAAATACTTTAGGCCTCATCAGGTCCCACTCAGTTTGCTGCTTGGAAGAAGAATGATCCAAGGAGGGAGGGATCAACAGTGTAAAATGTCACAGGTAAGTGACGACTAACTGGGCCTGTGGTGTAGGGGGAAAAGATTTACCAAGACCATTGTAGGTAAAGAAAGGCAGATTTATTAGAGAAAGTAGAAAAATATGTTGCCAGGGAGACAACAGGCAGTATCAACAGAAGAGAAGCTGACTACAAAGAAACAAAGACTTGCTAGGGATTTTATACAATGGAACTTGGACTGATTGATAACGCTAAGGTAGCAGGAAGCTTAACCCGCATTCTTCTGTCAGCCAAGGTGCTTGATAAATCGAGGCGTTTGATGGTAAGCAGGAAGTTTGTGAGTTATGTACAGGAGGGCCATGTGCCCTGGGCCATAAAAAAAGCAGACCTATCACTTGTTTGCTTTATCTTTGCTTTCCCCTGGTCCCACCAGCCTGACTCCTTTTCCCTGATTAGGACTCCACATAAAATGCCTTCGAGATGTTAAGATGAAGACTGAAAAGTGTCCCTTGGATTTGGCCAATACTAGTAAAAGTCACTCGTTCCCTTAGGGCAGGGAGGTTTAGAGGAGGCAGGAGGAAATTCATTTTAAAACGGTATATTTTATTTTATTTATTTTTTGAGACAGAGTCTCGCTCCTGTCGCCCAGGCTGGAGTGCAATAGCGCAATCTTGGCTCACTGCAACCTCTGCCTCCCAGGTTCAAGCGATTCTCCTGCCTCAGCCTCCCGAGTAGCTGAGGTTATAGGCATGCGACACCATGCGTGGATAATTTTTGTATTTTTAGTAGGGACGGGGCTTCCCATGTTGGCCAGGCTAGTCTCAAACTCCTGACCTCAGGTCATCCGCCCGCCTCAGCCTCCCAGAGTGGGTTTATAGGCGTGAGCCACTGTGCCTGTCCCTAAAACAGTATATTTTAGGCCGGGCGCGGTGGCTCACGCCTGTAATCCCAGCACTTTGGGAGCCCGAGGAGGGCGGATCACGATGTCAGGGAATTGAGACCATCCTGGCTAACACGGTGAAACCCTGTCTCTACTAAAAAAAATACAAAAAATTAGCCGGGCATGGTGGCGGGTGCCTGTAGTCCCAGCTACTCAGGAGGCTGAGGCAGGAGAATGGCGTGAACCTGGGAGGCGGAGCTTGCGGTGAGCCGAGATCGCGCCACTGCACTCCAGCCTGGGCGACAGAGCGAGACTCTGTCTCAAAAAAAAAAAAAGTATATTTTATTAATACTCTTTTTTTGAGACGGAGTCTCGCTCTGTCGCCCAGGCTGGAGTGCAGTGGCGCGATCTCGGCTCACCGCAACCTCCGCCTCCCAGGTTCAAGCGATTCTCCTGCCTCAGCCTCCTGAGTAGCTGGGACTACAGGTGTGCGCCACCATGCCCGGCTAATTTTTGTATTTTTAGTAGAGACGGGGTTTCACTGTGTTGGCCAGGCTGGTCATGATCTCCTGACCTCGGGATCCGCCCACCTCAGCCTCCGGAAGTGCTGGGATTACAGGCGTGAGCTACCGGGCCTATTAATAAGAATTTTATTAGGCCTTTATACTAAAGAATTTGGACAATGTCCCAGAGGCAAACACAAACAAATAAACAACAACAACAAAAAACCCACAAAACTTTGAAGATGTCTGAGTAAGAAGCGACAGAATGAAAAGCATTTTCTTCTTTAAGAATTTTTAAGGATGATTCTATTCCTTGAGGTGGTATTTGAATCAGTGAAAAAGTACAAATAGAGAAATTAATGGGAAGGCTGCACGGCTACCGATTCTTTGAAAAATACTTGTAAACTGACACACTGGTGCAATAATATAGGTTAGGATTAGTAATAGAAATTAACATGAACAGGTAAATTAAGCAAATCAAAATTCCATGAAATCTGGATGATGAAGGGAAGACAGTAAACACTCAAGGAAGAGGGGCTGGGCATGGTGGCTTCTGCCTGTAATCCCCTCACTTTGGGTGGCTGAGATGGGAGGGTCACGATCACGTGAGCCCAGGAGTTCTTGACTAGCCTAGGCAACATAGTAAGACCCCATCTCTTAAAATTTCTTTTTTCTTACAAAATTTATTGAGAAAAAGACAGGTGTAACTTTTTTAAATTAAAAAAAAGGAAGGGGACTGTTAGAGATTGCTAATGTAAATATTCCCTTTCCCCCACTCCCACCTTGTTCTACCCAACTCATCTATTTTGTTCTACCTTTTTAAAATTTTTTCCTTTTGTTTTCTTTTTTGAAACGGAGTCTTGCTCTGTTGCCCAGGCTGGAGTGCAGTGGCCTGATCTCGGCTCCCTGCAACCTCTGTCTCCCAGGCTCAAGTGATTCTCCAGCCTCAGTCTCCAGAGTAGTTGGGATTACAGGTGTGCACCACTGTGCCCATCGAGTTTTTGTATTTTTGGTAGAGACGGGGTTTCACCATGTTGGTCAGGCTGGTCTTGAACTCCTGGGCTTAAGCGATCCACCCGCCTCAGCCTCCCAAAGTGATGGGATTACAGGCATGAGCCACCACACCCTGCCTGTTCTACCTTTCTTTACCCCCAGGTCACCTGCCTCCAGAGGTAATAAAGGGTTGGTAAGATAAACACAATCAATTCTGAAAAACAAAGCCAAACTCAAGGCTTGCATCCCCCAAGTAAAGGAGAAGATGAAGGGCAGCTTTATCTACCTATCCATATCTCTCATATTTCTGCACTGTATTGCAATGCTTATTAGTCCTTTTTGGAGTAAATGAGAATAGACATATCCTTTAATTCTTACAAATTTCATTGTTGACCCAATCTCAAACCAAGACCAGACTGTGGTGTGGCCTGGCCCAAGTACTCTACATTTTTCTGGAAATGGGCTAAAGCTATTTGGGACTGGAATTTGAATGACTGGGTACTCAGAGTATGGTTGAGAAGGTAGATGTGGGTTTGGGGCTGGCAAGTCCACTTAATCCCTCAGACTTCTTGTCCCATGGGGAAGAGGACCAGAGTGGAACTCTCTAAAGTGATGATGTGGGCTGCTTTGCCTACGGAGTAGCCATTCTTTATTCCTTTATTTTCTTAATAATCTTACTTTCACTTTGAAAAAATAAAAATAAAGTGATGGTCTGGAAGCAGAAGCCCGCCTTGCTCAGATAGCAAGACAATATTGAGAAAATCTCAAAGAAAACTAGGAAACACCAAGTAAGGGATAAGAAAGCAACTTAAAAATGCTGGAGGTCTACTGGATGATAAGACAATGAGTATTGTGGGACTCCAAGACCCTGGGTCACCGCAGGATTCTTAGTTTCTCTATACTTCAGAAAGGAGCAAGCAATTTTTAGTTGCTACTCAATACAACAACCCTACGTAGTGGGCATTTTAATACCATTTTAATGGATAAACAATCTTATGGTTCAAAAAGTAAAAGATGTAACGAAATCTACTTCTTACTGCGGTACAATTATCATCCCCATTTCACACGAGGAGAAACTGAGGTAAATGAATGGTAAACCAACTTGCTTGGGCACAAGTGAGAGGTAGCAGAACTGGGCTTGTTATTGACACACAGAAATGTTACCATCTGATAATTAAACCTTTCTTTTTCTAAACAAAACTGCAAGTGCCTACAAATGGGGCTGTTTAATAAAAGGCCTCACTTATCAGGTGGGCTCAGTCGGTGACCCTCCTCATCCTCCAGCCTCTTGGGGAGGCCAGGTGTTTGCGCTCCCCAGCACCTATACAAAGCCAGCTTTCATTTTTTCGTTTCTTTTTTTTTTTTTTTTTTTTTTTTGAGACAGAGTCTCCCTCTGTCCCGCAGGCTGGAGTGCAGTGGCGATCTCGGGTCACTGCAACCTCCGCCTCCTGGGTTCAAGGGATTCTGCTGCCTCAGCCTCCTGAGTAGCTGAGACTACAGGCGCCTGCCACCACGCCCGGCCAATTTTTCTATTGGTAGTAGAGATGGGGTTTTACCATGTTGGCCAGGATAGTCTTGATCTCCTGACCTCGTGATCCACCTGCCTTGGCCTCCCAAATGCTGGGATTACAGGCGCGAGCCACTGCGCGCGGCCAAAGCCAGCTTTCTTTTGCAGGGGCTGAGACCTGGCACCAAGAGGAAACCCAACAAAAGACGAGGGGCCCGGGCCCGGCAGCCGCTGAAGTTTGTAGGCCCGGAGCGTGTGGCACCATCTGCTCTTGCGACCAGTGCCCTAGGATAGAGCTTCAGCGCGACCAGTCCAAAGGAGAGTGGCGGAGCCTCCTCGGCCTTTCCAAGAGGAAACAGCTCAGGCCCCCAGGCCACGAAACCTTGTCACTCGCTGGAAGCGCGAGCCAAGCCCCGCCCCCGCGAGCCGCCTCTTCCGCTCGCGCTGGGGTGGGGTTTACGCTGCCGCCGGCATCCGCTCGGACGCGGCCACGTTGTCTTGCGCGCTTTGCCCGCCTGGCCCTGGGACTCTGACCCTCGGCTACCCTTTCCTGCCCCACTAGCGTGGCCGCGAGCCTCGGTGAGCCGGCCGTATTCCCGCTCTCGCTTAGGGGGCACAGGCGCAGGCATCGGCCCGGCCACTCCAAGCCTTCGGTGCGCGGGCGCGTCTGGGATACGGGCCCGGGAGGCGCCGCCCTCCGTCCGCCCGGTGCCTCTCAGGAACAGCGAACCGGAGAGAGCGCCGGAGAGTTGGGCTCAGTGCAGAGCTCGGCGCCGGGGCCCATGCCCGTGCGCCCCCGCAGGCCGGCGCCATGGCCTCCGGGAGTGTGGCCGAGTGCCTGCAGCAGGAGACCACCTGCCCCGTGTGCCTGCAGTACTTCGCAGAGCCCATGATGCTCGACTGCGGCCATAACATCTGTTGCGCGTGCCTCGCCCGCTGCTGGGGCACGGCAGAGACTAACGTGTCGTGCCCGCAGTGCCGGGAGACCTTCCCGCAGAGGCACATGCGGCCCAACCGGCACCTGGCCAACGTGACCCAACTGGTAAAGCAGCTGCGCACCGAGCGGCCGTCGGGGCCCGGCGGCGAGATGGGCGTGTGCGAGAAGCACCGCGAGCCCCTGAAGCTGTACTGCGAGGAGGACCAGATGCCCATCTGCGTGGTGTGCGACCGCTCCCGCGAGCACCGCGGCCACAGCGTGCTGCCGCTCGAGGAGGCGGTGGAGGGCTTCAAGGTGAGGGCGCGGATCCGGGAGGGCGGGAGCGCGAGTCGGACAAAGGGAGGAGAGAGCCAAAGGGGCTTCCTTTTTTCCGCCTAGAAAATGGCTGAGCCGGACGTGTGGTTCACAGCCGTCATTTCCTCTCTGTCCGCTCCAGAGCCTCAGCACTCAGATTTGGAGGAAAACCTGTAGCTGGCGAGGAAGCCAGGAGTGTCCCCACCCCCACTCTCTTTTCTCTGTTTACCCCCATGTTACCTGTCTCACGGACACATTGTACACGGAGACATCCTTTTGACAGTTTAAAAGAAGTGCATAAAACCGCGTACACATCGACAAGCTGCAGACACTCTTACTCCCATCGGCTCTCAGACAAAACGCAGTTGGACGTTAACTGACTTATGCCCATTCCTTAGTCTATAAGCATTTCCCCAGCACTTTCCTGCAATCCGTCCTGGTCTAGAAACTCACAGAAAAGAACAGCTTTTCGCTGCTGGAGTAAGTCACTTAACCACTCTGAGACTCAGGAGATAACACAGTTATGAGGAATATTGTGGAATCATGTGACTCACAGAGCCCTTTGTGAACTGGCACAGCTAAACAGAAACGTGGAAACAAAGTATTACATATAAAACAGTTGTAAGGTGACCTTCAAGGAGTCCATGATACTGTGTATTTTCTGTACGTTGAGGGCTTCAGGAATGCGTACACAATTATGTCCGTGTTTAAATATGAGTACATTCATGTGCAATCACTTAACATTTATGGACCTTTCAGCTATATTATTTCACTCACTCTGGTGAGAACTCTTGAGTAGGTTGGGAAGATGGTGTTTGCCCATTTCACACATGAGGGAAATAAGTCACTTTCACAGTGTACCTATATGGAAGAGCTACAATACAACATAGTTCTAAGCCTCCTACTCCAGTCACAGTTCCGCTAAGTCATGCAATATCCTACCAGGGACAGGTAGATGACTCATTGTTTAAGATAGACACAAATAGTCCTGACGAGGTAGCTGAGTGGTTGAAGCCACAGGCTGCTAAGATAGACACAGATTGCCAAAGGAGTGGCTTGTTTGCCCCTGCGCCCTGAGTCTCTTGTGGGTGGCAGTGTGGCCTAAGGACAAGCGCCAACTGGAGACTTGGCATCAGGTGTGTGGACTCCATGTGTGATAAGAAGTACCATGCTGATGCTAAGGTCTACCTAATTTTGAACTGCCCATCTGTTTTGCTTTTCTCAGGAGCAAATCCAGAACCAGCTCGACCATTTAAAAAGAGTGAAAGATTTAAAGAAGAGACGTCGGGCCCAGGGGGAACAGGCACGAGCTGAACTCTTGGTAAGGGTTGTTGGAATTCACAGTTGGTTCTGCTGGTGCTCTCCTCTTCTGTAGAGCTGATGTTACTTCCCTTAAACTTGTCCAGCATGTCACCCAGAACTTGTAGGTAGAGGTGGATCAACCGCACATGGCAGTGGGAACTCACCCGGAGAACTAAGATTCCCTTACTTTTGGGGAAAGCATGGAGAAGCCAAGTTTGGAACCCTTGGAAATCAGACCTGTCAGTTTACTTTAACCTGCTAACTGCGTAGACCAGGGTTGATCCTTGGCAAAGCTGAGATAGGTAAAATTATTGGATACAGTTAGCTTGCGTTGGTACCATTCTGCAGACAATTGCTAATAGTGGATTTGTGTAATCCCCACTGTTGCTTCTCTTTGGCTTATTCTCCTTTCTTAACAATGCCTTAATTCTGAATTTTTTACTCTGCCCTCTTCCTCCAGTCTCAAGGCCTTAACAAGTGGCTGATGTGTTAATTTATATTAGGGGTATATGGGAATTTTTTTTTTTTTTTTTAAGACAGGGTCTCACTGTCATCCAGGCTGGAGTGCAATGGTGAGGTTTTGGCTCGCTGCAACCTCTGCCTCCCAGTTCAAGCGATTCTCCCACCTCAGCCTCCCAGGTAGCTGAGGCTACAGGCGTACGCCAACAGACTCAGCTAATTTTTGTATTTTTAGTAGAGATGGTGTTTCTCCATGTTGGTTAGGCTGGTCTCGAACTCCCGACCTCAGGTGATCCGCCCACCTCAGCCTCCCAAAGTGCTGGGATTACAGACGTGAGCCACCGCGCCCAGCCTGGCTCCTTGTTTAGAACAAAAGTTTATAATAGAGTCCTGTTGGTGGTGGGGGTTGGGTGAAGAACGAAGGACAGTAAATTATGGCAAACAAATGAGCGCCAAGAGGGAATCGTGGGGAGAGCACCTCTCCCCCTCCTACCCAAAGCTAGAGACAGCAGTTGGTGAACACCCGTGAAGGACAGACAGCGGGTATGGATTACATATGAAGGGCCCAGGGAAATTGGGCAAGGAAGCTGTTATTGGTTGTTCCATCCTCCATAGGGCACATATCTGACCCTGTCACTTTCCTGTGTGACAATCTTCCATGCTTCCCAGTTGGGATAGAGTCCTTACCCCCAGCCTCCCAGGCCAGGCATGACAAGGCCTTACCTTTTCTGGTCCCTTCCCTCAACACTCATGTGCTCCAGCCAGATAGCACCATTTGCTTTCTCTCCCCACTCTTTTGCCTGTGCCATTTCTTCTGCCTGGAAAGGCTTCCCGCTCATTGCCTATGTGGTGAATTCTTGTTCATCACATGAACATTGTGTGAAATTGCTTCTGTGAAGATGGTACCAGTTTCTTTCATTGCAGGCTGTCACCCTATCTTTAATTACCCATCCATGACTATGTATATCATATGAACCTGACTCACTTCTCTGAGTTGCTTGAGAACAGGGACTATGTCTTAATAATCACTGGGGTAATTCAGTTCCTGGGCATTATATATCCAGTCAGTAAAGACTGGAAATAATGAGTTAGCACTGTGCTTGTTTTAATCCATAATGAGGTCTTGGGCTACATGGTCACAGGAGAACTATGAAGGCCCTAGAAATGAGCCGTTTTTCTCTTTACTGCCTTTCCCTGTCGTCTGCATAGAGCCTAACCCAGATGGAGAGGGAGAAGATTGTTTGGGAGTTTGAGCAGCTGTATCACTCCTTAAAGGAGCATGAGTATCGCCTCCTGGCCCGCCTTGAGGAGCTAGACTTGGCCATCTACAATAGCATCAATGGTGCCATCACCCAGTTCTCTTGCAACATCTCCCACCTCAGCAGCCTGATCGCTCAGCTAGAAGAGAAGCAGCAGCAGCCCACCAGGGAGCTCCTGCAGGTAAGGCTTGCAGAGCCCTGCTAGAGCAGCACCCACTGAAAATATCGTCCCTTCTCCTTTGCCAAGTAGTATCCAGGACCCCCTGTCTTCTTTTTAACTCTGCAGGAATAGCAAGAGCTTGCCAAACTCTATATTGTGCACCTTGGAAGGAAACTGTGTAAACTAGAAGTTCTGGTTCACACAACTTGAATTAGTCAATTGCGTTGTCTCATAGAAATGGCAAAAAGAAGACCTGGTGCTTGTGCCTACACAGCACTGACAAGTGGTCTGATTACAGGCAAGGCTCTCAACCTTTTTGGGCCTCAGTGACCTCATTTGTTCAGTAATGAGGGGCTTAGACCACATGTCATTCAAAGACTCTCCTCACTCCAGTATCCTGTAGTTTTAATGTATTACTATAGCCACAAAACAATGAGCACTTGAGCAGGAGTGGTTAGGTTACCTGAGCAGTCCTGTGATTTAACCTTGGTAGAGCAGGTGATAAAGCTGCAGCAGACCTACCCCGGCAAGACTACAGGAAATGAGCTAATGCCTGTCTGTCGTTTGCTCATTCAGTGCGTATTAATTATTTGCTTTGTGTCAGGCACTATTCTAGGCACTGGGATTAAGTGCCAAATAAGCTTTCCTGAATTATATTTTAGTGTGGCGATCAGATAGTTCTTATAGGTATTTGATAAAAGCCATTAAAAATGGATGATGGCGGGCCAGGTGCAGTGGCTCACACCTGTAATCCCAGCACTTTGGGGGGCCGAGGCGGGTGGATCACAAGGTCTAGGACTTCAAGACTAGCCTGGCCAAGATGGGGAAACCCCGTCTCTACTAAAAATACAAAAATTAGCCAGGCATGGCGGTGTGCCTGTAGTCCCAGCTACGCGGGAGGCTGAGGCAAGGAATTGCCCAAAACCAGGAGGAAGTGGTTGCAGTGAGCCAAGATCGCGCCACTGTACTCCAGCCTGGGCAACAGAGCGAGACTCTGTCTCAAAAAAATAAATAAATAATAAAAAATAAAAATAAAAATGGATGATGGCATAGGGCAAGGGTCAGCAAATTATGGTCCATCCCCTGTTTTTGTATGTCCTGGGCAATAAGTATGGTTTTTACATTTTAATTTTAATTTAATATTATTTATTTATTTTGAGATTGAGTCTTGCTCTGTTGCCCAGGCTGGAGTGCAGTGGTGCGATCTTGGCTCACTGCAACCTCCGCCTCCTGGGTTCAAGCGATTCTCCTGCCTCAACCTCCTGAGTAGCTGAGATTACAGGCGCACACCACCATGGCTGGCTAATTTTTGTATTTTTAGTAGAGACGGGGTTTCACCATATTGGTCAGGCTGGTCTCAAACTCCTGACCTCGTGATCTGCCCTCCTCGGCCTCCCAAAGTGTTGGGATTACAAGTGTGAGCCACAGCGTCAGGCCAGTTTACATTTTTAAATGGTAAAAATCAGAAAAATGTATTTCTTTCTTTCTTTTTTTCTTTTTTTATTTTTGAGACGAAGCAAGAAGGGAGTGGACAGCATAGTAATGCAGTTGAGGTCAAATAATATCAAAGCTGATACCCATTTGATTCAATAACATGACCATCATTGGTGATCTTAGGTAGAACTATCACAATGGAATAATTGGGGCAGGAGCCACATTAGGGGGAGTTGAGTAGTGACTAGGTCAGGTGAATGGAGACTACACAAGTAGATGACTATTTCAAGTACAACTGTTAAGGGGTTGTAATAAAATACTTAGAGACGAGACAGGATTATGGAGTTTTATCTGGAAGGGTTGGTTAAAGAAACTAGAAGTTAGACATATTTTCAAAATACATATGGAAAGGAGTATATGTTGTAAGGTTTCTAGGTGAGGGAGAACACTGAAGCCACAAGAAACCATATACTGGCCGGGCACGGTGGCTCATGCCTGTAATCCCAGCACTTTGGGAGGCCGAGGTGGGCAGATCACCTGAGGTCGGGAGATTGAGACCAGCCTGACCAACATGGAGAAACCCCATCTCTATTAAAAATACAAAATTAGCCGGGTGTGGTGGCACATGCTTGTAATCCCAGCTACTCAGGAGGCTGAGGCAGGAGAATCGCTTGAACCAGTGAGACGATGGTTGCAGTGAGCCGAGATTGCGCCATTGCATTCCAGCCTGGGCAATGAGCGAAACCCTGTCTCCAAAAAAAAAAAAAAGAAAGGAAGAAAGAAACCATGTACTGATCAGCAATGTGCGGTTCCTGAGAAGGCAGGTGGAAATGAGAACTAAAGTACATATGCCAGGAATTAGTGTCAGAGAGTCTTCTGTTGTATGGGAAGAAATGATTGTTTCAGAGTATGGGAAAGACAGTTGGTTTGCGAGAACTAGTAGGAGTATTTGGTCAGTGAACATCTATTTATAGTGTAACCATTCTGCCCTGTTGTGTAACTTTCTTTTTTTTTTTTTTTTAAGACATACTCTTGCTCTGTTGCCCAGGCTGGAGTGCAGTGGTGCAATCTTGGCTCACTGCAACATCCCCCTCTCAAGTTCAAGCAATTCTCCTGCCTCAGCCTCCCAAGTAGCTGGGATTACAGGCGTGTGCCACCACGCCCAGCTAATTTTTGTATTTTTTATAGAGACGGAGTTTCACCATGTTGGCCAGGCTGGTCCTGAACTCCTGACCTCAGGTGATCCTTCTGCCTCGGCCTCCCAAAGTGCTGGGATTACAGGTGCGAGCCACCGTGCCCAGCCCCTGTCGTGTAACTTTCTTATCAGCTTTGCTTTCTCAAATCTTGACTGCTCTGGCGTGGGCACTGAGTAAGCAGATGGTCAGTCTCATCCAGGATTGGGGTTTTGCAAGATGGACTTGAGTGTTTTTTTTTCCTTAGTTTTTATTGTTGTTGTTTGAGACAGGGTCTCACTCTGAAACCCAGTCGGAGTGCAGTGACATGATCATGGCTCACCGCAGCCTTGACCTCCCAGGCTCAGATGATCCTCCCACCTCAGCCTCCCAAGTAGCTGGGACTACAGGCGTAAACCACCATGCTTGGCTAATTTGTGTAATTTTTGTAGAGATGGAGTTTTGCCATGTTGCCTCGGCTGGTCTTGAACTCCTGGGCTCAAGCAATCCATCCGCCTCAGCCTCCCAAAGTGCTAGGATTACAGGTGTGAGCCACCACATCCAGCCTTCCAGCCTTCTTCATTTTTTTAATTGTAAAATATACGTAACCTAAATTTCACCATTTTAAAGTGTAAAACTCTGGCACAAAGTAGCATTTAGTAAATCCACAGTGTTGTAAATTATCAACCACTGTCTGGATCTAAAACACTTTTACCACCCAAAAGGAAACCTCACACTATTAAGCAATCACTCCTCATTTCCTTCTACCCCTAACTCCTGGCTCTATGGATTAGTCTATTCTAGATATTAGATATAATTGAAATCATACAGTACGTAGCCTTTTTCTTCACTTAGCATACTTTTTTTTTTTTTTGAGGCAGAGTTTCACTCTTGTTGCCCAGGCTGGAGTGTAACGGCACGATCTCCGCTCACCGCAACCTCCGCCTGCCAGGTTCAAGCGATTCTCCTGCCTCAGCCTTCCGAGTAGTTGGTATTACAGGCATGCGCCACCACCCCTGGCTAATTTTGTATTTTTAGTAGAGACGGGGTTTCCCCATGTTGGTCAGGCTAGTCTCAAACTCCTGACTTCAGGTGATCCACCCACCTCAGCCTCCCAAAGTATTGGGATTACAGGTGTGAGCCACCACGCCCGGCCTATCACTTAGCATATTTTTTTAAAGATTCATTCATATTGTAATATGTTTCAGTACTGGCCAGGCGCGGCGGCTCACGCCTGTAATCCCAGCACTTCAGGAGGCCAAGGTGGGCAGATCACGAGGTCAGGAGTTCGAGACCAGCCTGGCCAACATGGTGAAACCCCGTCCCTACTAAAAATACAAAAATTAGCCAGGCGTGGTGGCGCATGCCTGTAATCCCAGCTACTCAGGAGGCTGAGGCAGGACAATCACTTGAACCTGGGAGGCAGAGGTTGTAGTGAGCCGAGATCGTGCCATTGCACTCCAGCCTACGCAATAGAATGAGACTCCATCTCAAAAAATATATATATGAAAAAATATATATTTCAGTACATATATATATGTTTCAGTATTTCTCTTTATGGCTGAATAACATTCCATTGTATGGATATATAATATGTTTTGTTTATTCATCAGTCGATGGGCATTTTGGTTGTTTGCACCTTTTGGCTATTGTCAATAGTGCTGCTGTGAACATTGAACACAAAAAGTAGAAAATGGTTCACAAATTTGTGTGTTATCCTTGTGCAGGAGCCATGCTAATCTGTGCATGGTTCCCATTTGAGGATATCTGCTGCTGAAGCAAGCACCATAATTAAGGCTTTAAAACCTTTTTTTAAATTTTTTTTAGACAAAGTCTCACTCTGTTGCCCAGGCTGGAGTGCAGTGGCACAATCTCAGCTCACTGCAGCTTCCACCTCCTGAGTGAGTCTCCTGCCTCAGCCTCCCGAGTAGCTGGGATTACAGGCACACACCACCACACCTAGCTAATTTTTGTATTTTTGGTAGAGATGGGGTTTCACCATGTTGGCCAGGCTGGTCTTCAACTCCTGACCTCAGGTGATCCGCCTACCTTGGCCTCCCAAAGTGCTGGTATAATAGACGTGAGCTACTGCGCCTGGTCTAAAGCTTCTTTTTTTTTTTTTTTTTTTTTTTTAAGAATATTTTTTTAAACAGATGGAGCATGAAACTGAAGGTGGATGATGAGGAAAGGAGAGAAAGAAAGAAGTCATGGACTCAGTAAGGGAGGAGGGGCTCCATGAATATCAAAAAGTGTTTATGTTGGAAGTCACTGGAAAAGCAGGATAAATATTACTTAATGGGGCAATACTGGAGGCATTCCCATTGAGGTCAGAAACAGGCCGGATGCCCAGTATCATTTATCTCTATTTAACACTGCATTAAAGGTTCTAACCAGTTCAGTTAAATAAAATAATTATAGGTATACAAATTGGGAAAGAAGTTAACATACAGAAATCAGCAGCCTTCATATGCCAGATAGCAGCCACTAGAAGACATATTAGAAGAGAACATGCTGTTTCCATTTGCAAAAAAAAAACAAGTGATAAAATATCTGGGAATAAATTTATAAGAAATATACAAAAACCTATGTGGAGAAAATTATAAAACATTCAAAGATTCCTGAAAGACACAAAATAAACTTGAACAAATAAAGAGATATCACTTATTCTTTGATAAGACAGGGAAAGCAAGTTGTCCTTCACATTCATAAATGCAGTTTCTTTTTTTTTTCTGTTACTCGGATATATTATGTAGTGAAGTCTCGGATTTCAGTGTAACCATCACCCAGGTACCCAGTGTACGTTGTACCCATTAAGTAATCTGTTATCCCTCATCCCCCCCCCCCCACCCTTGCAATTTCAATAAAAATACCAACAAGCTCTTTTTCTGGATCTAGACAAATTGACAGTCAACTTCAGATAGAAAAATAAGCACATAATAATATGCACATATAAAATAAGCACATATTATTATGTGCTTATTTTTATGGGATAGGCCGGGTGCAGTGACTCACACCTGTAATCCCAGTACTTTGGGAGGCCGAGGCAGGTGGATCACATTAGGTCAGGAGTTTGAGACCAGCCTGGCCAACATGGCAAAACCCCGTCGCTATTAAAAATACAAAAATTAGCCAGGTGTGGTGGCACATGCCTGTAATCTCAGCTACCTGGGAGGCTGAGGCAGGAGAATCTCTTGAACCCGGAGGTGGAAGTTGCAGTGAGCTGAGATCGCACCATTTCACTCCAGCCTGGGAGGCAGATCAAGACTCTGTCTCAAAAAAAAAAAAAAAAGCTGGGATAGATCACTAGAGCCCAAGAGGTTGAGCCTGCAGTGAGCTATGATTGCACCACTGCACTCCAGCCTGGGTAACAGAGCAAGACTCTGTCTTAAAAAAAAAAAAAAAACATAGGTAGGCTACACTGTGAAAGAAGAGCTCTGAGGGAGAACTGGCCCTACTAGATACTACACCATATTTTAAAGCCCATATAATTAAAGCTGTTGGTATTAGTACAAGAAAAAAGCGCACACACATTGTAACCAGTCAAAAGATAGTATTAAAATTGAATATTTGCCACAAATATCACAAATACAAGTGATAGTTCTAATATAAAAAGACCTTTTAAGTATTGCGAGAGAAAAGACCAAAATTCTAGAGAAAAATGGGTTGAAGGCACAAATAGACAAGCTGCAAAAGACATAAATTGCTTTGTGAACATGTGAAAAAATGCTCAGCTGTACTTATAATAAGAGAAATGCAAACTAAAACCACACTAAAATACCATTTCTTACTCGTTACAATAGCAAAAATTTTCAACTTAATACACTTTTGACGAAGTGTCGGAGAGACACTCATATGCCAGTGGGCTGGTAGGAATGCAAAATCATGACCCTTTTGGAGGAGAATTTCTCAATATTTAACAAAACTGTATGTGTGTGTGTGTATGTATACACACAGTTAGAATTAACAATTTTTCTAGGAAGGGTAGAGGGAGGAGAGATGAGAGATTGATTAATGGGTACAAATATACAGTTTGATAGAAGAAATAAAAGCTAGTGTTTGATAGGTCAGTAGGGTGACTGTAGTTTACAAAACTATTATATATATCTATGTATATACACACACATATACATACGTATATTATATATATATATATATATTTTTTTTTTTTTTTGAGATGGAGTTTCACTCTTGTTGCCCAGGCTGGAGTACAATGGCAAGATCTCAGCTTACCGCAACCTCTGCCTCCCGGGTTCAAGCGATTCTCCTGCCTCAGCCTCCCGAGTAGCTGGGATTACAGGCATACGCCACCATGCCCGGCTAATTTTGTATTTTTAGTAGAGACGGGGTTTCTCCATGTTGGCCAGTCTGGTCCCAAACTCCCGACCTCAGGTGATCCGCCCGCCTGGACCTCCCAAAGTGCTGGGATTACAGGCGTGAGCCACTGCGCCTGGCCTATTTTATAGTCCAAAGTGACTAGAGGAGAATAATTGCAATGCTTCTTGCATAAAGAAAAGGCAAATATTTAACGATGTGATGGATATCCCAATACACTGATTTCTTTACAAATTATGAACATGTTAAATTATCGCATGCACCCCCAAAATATATATGTCTGTTACGTATCAATAAAAAATTTTAAAAATCTAAGAATTTACTTTGAAGATATAACTATTAAAATATATTTGAAAATACATATGCACAAGATAACCTGCTGCAACATTTTTATAATTGCAAAATACTGGAAATAGTCTGACTTAGAAACCTACAAGATTGTTTTAGTTAATTATGCACATATACACTATGGAATACTATCCAAGTTAAAAAAAGGAAAAGAATGATACCTATGAACTGATACGGAGTGGTTTTCAGTATATATTGCTTTGTGGAAAATAAAAATGTGAAATAGAGAGTATGCTACTTTTTTTTTTTTTCCTGAGACAGAGTTTCACTCTTGTTGCCCAGGCGTGAGCCACCGCGCCTGACAAGAGTATGCTACTTTTTGTGTATGAAAGAAGGGAGAGGCCACCGCTGGCTCACACTTGTAATCCCAGCACTTTGAGAGGCCGAGGTGGGTGGATCACCTGAGGTCAGGAGTTCAAGACCATCCTGGCCAACATGGCAAAATGCTGTCTGTGCTAAAAACACAAAAATTAGCTGGGCGTGATGGCAGACACCCGTAGTCCCAGCTACTCAGGAGGCTGAGGCAGGAGAATTGCTCGAACCCGGGTGGCAGAGGTTGCAGTGAGCCAAGATCGCGCCATTGCACTCCAGCCTGGGCTACACAGAGCGAGACTCCGTCTCAAAAAAAAAAAAAAAAAAAGTATACTGGAGTTCTTTGTACTAACAGCTTTTCCGTGTATTTGAAATTATTTCATAATAAAAAGAAAGCAAGCTGGACAGGTAGGCAAGCTTGAGGTCCAATCATAGGACGCTTAAGTTAGTAAATTTGAAATCCTGAGGTCCTTGACCAGTGGATGGTGGGTACTGAAGGAGGGTATGGGAAATGCTGGTATAGCAAATAGTATGCATCCCATTTTCCTCTGCCTGCCTTTTAGCTCCTCAACACTGAGTTATGTTCCAGTGATCCTTTTCTCCCTAATTTCTCCCATGAGAGCCAGTCTGTAGTTGGTTTTTCAACAAACATCTGTGAAAGAAAACCGAAGTTTTAAATGACTTCTCATGGTTATTTTTTTTCCTTTCTCTTGCAGGACATTGGGGACACATTGAGCAGGTATAGTTTTCTGTTTCCCTAGTGTTAAATCAAATATGAGAAGACTGTCTCCTTCACATTTGTAAATCCTGAAAGGAGCCCTGAGCCTGAGGATGGACATCTTATCAAATTGACACATATCCCTGAAGAGAGTCACTAGTATACAAAGAATTAGATGAACCACAGCTCTACTCAGTAAAATTCAGGAAGTAGGGGGTTCATGTGGGAGGCTGCCGGTGGATTAGGGGTATGAGGACACTTCCATGGAGAGGGTGTGGCCTTACAGGGACCTGGGCTGAATATAAGGGTAGTTTATGTCTATTGCTTCCTATACATTTCAGAATCCTTTCCCCCTTCATTATCTCATTTTTTTTTTTTCTGTAATGGGGGAAATAAAGCCTAAGAAAGGTGTGACTGGCCTGCATTTACATAATTACTGATGAGCCACCTGGATTCTGGCTCTTATTCTTACTCTTGCTATTTCTCTATGTTCCATCAAAAAAAAAAAAGTGAGGAAGAACTCCCTGGCAGCTGGAACACGATCAAAGAGGGAGAGCTTGGAGGGGGCAGTAAGCCAGGGCAAAGTTGTTTTGCAGGATGGATGACGAGGCAAGTGGGATGGGCCTTGGGAAGCTCATGTTTGGTGTAAGAATGCCTTCAGGGGTGGAAACTGACTTTGAGGAAGCTGTACTGTGAAGGTGATTAAGATCCTGAATGGTGAAAACCTTCTAAAGCAAAATGCAGCTTGACTATGTGGGAGCATTTAAGGAGATTGGGGAGGTCCTTATAGATGGGGCAGTTTGGCTGGGAGGCCTGTGTTGATAGAATCATGTTGATGGAATTGAGGTTCCTGAGGGATCCTAGGATGGAGATAAGGTGGAGTTCATACCAGTCCCAGCCAGATGACCTAAGCAAATAATACTGTTACCTGATACTTTATGATGCCAGTCTAGCTGTGACCTAACATACAGAGTTAGCTGCCTCAGACCCTAGCAGTTTGTGACATTAAGGATTGAATTTGGCTATATAAGATAGGAAACCCAAAATTTTATTGGCTTAAGGCTTAAACATAATAAAAGAAATGTGCAGGTTGGGTGCGGTGGCTCACACCTGTAATCCCAGCATTTTGGGAGGCCAAGTCAGGTGGATCACCTGAGGTCAGGAGTTCGAGACCAGCCTGACCAACATGGTGAAACCCCATTTCTACTAAAAATACAAAAATTAGCTGGGCGTGGTGGTGCATGCCTGTAATCCCAGCTACTTGGGAGGTTGAGGCAGGACAATTGCTCAAACTCTTGTGGCGGAGGTTGCAGTGAGCTGAGATCATGCCACTGCACTCTAGCCTGGGCGACAGAGCCTGACTCCCTCTCAAAAGAAAAAAAAAAGTAAGAAATGTGCAGGTAGGTAGTCTGTGGCTAGTGTGGTAACTCCAGTGATCCTCAGAGACTCAGGTTTCTTCCCATTCACTGTTCTACCATCCCTAAGGTATGGTCCTCATATAGTCCACAATAGCTGGTAGAATGCCAACCAAGAAGAAGGAGATAAGTCGCATCACATTACCTTTTTTTCTTCGTTTTTTTTTTTTTTTTTTTTTCATTTTTCTTTTTTGTAGAGGCAGGGTCTTACCATGTTGCCCAGGCTGGTCTTGAACTCCTAGCCTCAAAGTAATTATCCCACCTTGGCCTCCAAAAGTGTTGGGATTGCAGGCATGAGCCACTGTTTCCTGTCATGTTACATTTTTAAGTAGATTTCTCAAAACACCATGAGATACGTCTTACTTCTCATAGGCCAGAACTTAGTCACAAGGTCACATCTAGCTATGAGGGACTGGGCAGCTGTGAGCCATAAAAGGCAGAAGATGGCAGAAGGGGTATTGGATAGGCAACTGGCAGTCTTTGCTATAGACATCCTTGCAGGGCTAGGGAATTGGGTAATGTCCCCCACAGTGCCTTTCTATCTGAACATGTCATTCTTTCCATATTTGGGAACCTGAGAATTCGGGTTAATTGCCCACCATAAATATCAAGGACTGTCATGGAATCTAGTGCTTTCTGGCAAAGTCAGCCTCATATGTAATTCAGTAAACCTTTTTGAGTACTTAGTATTTGAAAAGCTGTGAGCTAGGTGCTTTGGGGGGTATGAGAATGAGTACAGTATCCTATTTTGGTCTAGAGGATCATAGCTCAGGAAGAGAAGGTGGGAAAAGCTGTAGTGGCTGATTTTAAAGACTGTCCGTGTACGCTAGACAGTTTAACTTAGCCCCTGTCCTAGTTCCTGGAAGGTCATGGAATTGGGAAAAAGAATTTACTTGGGCCGGACGTGGTGGCTCACGCCTGTAATCCCAGCACTTTGGGAGGCCGAGGCGGGAGGATCACCTGAGGTCAGGAGTTCGAGACCAGCCTGACCAGTATGGAGAAACCCCATCTCTACTAAAAACACAAAATTAGCTGGGTATGGTGGCGCATGCCTGTAATCCCAGCTACTCAGGAGGCTGAGGCAGGAGAATCGCTTGAACCTGGGAGGCAGAGGTTGCGGTGGGCCGAGATGGCGCCATTGCACTCCAGCCTGGGCAACAAGCGAAACTCCATCTCAAAAAAAAAAAAAATTTACTCATGTTTTTTAAATTTAGGGCTGAAAGAATCAGGATTCCTGAACCTTGGATCACACCTCCAGATTTGCAAGAGAAAATCCACATTTTTGCCCAAAAATGTCTATTCTTGACGGAGAGTCTAAAGCAGTTCACAGGTAATGTGAGGAGAGGTGTCATGAGGGGAAATGGATTTATACTGAGTATCTGCATATTGCCTGATGAAGAGGATAATTTTCCAGCCAGATAGTGGGATGCAGACTGAATATTTTCTTGTTTTCTTTTCTTAGAAAAAATGCAGTCAGATATGGAGAAAATCCAAGGTAAATTTATCTACCTACTGGGCTTTTGATGTAAAGTTGCTTGGAAAAAAGAACATCTGCACTGAAAGTGGGAAACGTGGGATAAGGGTGATACCCATTGGCCAGCCTTCCCTGATATTTTACATCTTCCCTTTGGTCTTAATTAATTTTCTCAATTAACAGCTTCTTGTTCTAATTTGAAGTTTGTTAACTGTATTTAGTCAATTCGCAGTCTGCATTGATGGAGGAGAAAAATAAGCAATCCAAAAATTAATCAATCCAGAATTAATTTGATTGTTTACTTCGGAAAGAATGAACAAAAACTACCTTGGATACGTTTCACTTGAGCCAGTGTTTATCATTGTAATTTACTGAGTTCCTACTGCTTGTGGGCACAGGTGCCAGCTCGGGCTGGAGGAATCCAGCAGCACTGACAGGCAGCACCGCCAGGGACATGGTTAGGAGCGGGCAGTCAGGAGTCAGGCTGCCTGGGTTCTGGGCCTGCCTCTACCACTTAGTAAGGATTCAACAAGTAATTTCCTCATCTGTAACAGAACAGTAATAGTTCTTACCTCCTGAGGTATAAGAATTAAGGTTAGTTACCATTTCTAACACTTCTAGAATAGAACCTGACACATAATAAGTCCTATATTTATGTTTATTAAATCGTTCTAGGCATTTGGAGAAGCTTTTCCAAATTAAAATTTTTCTGCTCACGAGCCACATTCAGTAAAGAGTTGGCCATATATTATTCCACCCAGGAATACTAAAATTCCTGGGCAGTCTGGTGGATTCTGAAATCCTTATATGTAGGTAAACCCTTCTCTTAATTATTAGAAATTACAAACCCCCACAATCTTTGATAATTTTCTATTTTGTATATGCTGGGTTCATATATGCATTGCATCTATTCAGATATATACTTTTTGGGGCATCTAGCAACATAGAGCTAGCAGATACATGTCCTCTACAAGCAAGACAAATGGGGAGAAACTCCACTCAATACAGTGGATAATACCAGAAGTGGTTAGTTCAGGCATGACTTTCCTTGATCTGGCTCTTCTTTTCTTGCCACTTAAAAGTCTTAGTGGGATAATGTGTGAGAAATTCTGTTTCAACTATAAAGTGCCTTATAAATGAATGGTCATGTTTACCCCAGAGTGTCAGTGAGTGTCACTTGAGCCATTCAGCTCTTGTACACAGATGACTTATGCAACTCAAAAGTTATGTATGACGTGGGGTTGGAACCGCGTTTCCCTCTGCAGAATCAGCTGACTCACTGGAAGGTGGAATTCTTGATCTTGGCTCAGTTTTATCCCATATTCTACCAGTCTCAGGCATGTGGTTATCCCTGTACTTAAGATTCCCAATCCCTCTCCCCTTAAAGCTTTTGGTTGGATGATAGAGCCATACATCATATGAAAAAATTAGTGCATGACTAACAACAGAGGTTCTGGGGTTTCTGGTGGAGACCACTGCTTTATGATGACTAACCAAAGCCCCCTTAGTTATGTATTTCCTGGAAACCCTCATGACTTCCATAACTTTGCTCTTTTATTCTTTCAGAATTAAGAGAGGCTCAGTTATACTCAGGTAGGTGATGAGAGACAAAACCATATTAGGGTAAGGAGTAAAAATCCTTGTGAACCTAACTACTATTATGAATGATTTGGAAATTGCTTAGATTTGGATTCTTTTGGTTACATGTATAAAGATGATACACAACAACCACAAAAATCCTCAGTTGTTTCTATGTGTTAACAGTATCTTTGCCTCCTGAAATGTCTCAGAGCTGAAGCCATAGGGTAAAATCAATCTCAGGTGTTAAAGAAGGATTATAGGGTGGAAACCGCAGTTCCCCAAAAGTAGAACAGAGCTGGTACACTAGTACACTGCTCTGCCCGCCCAGCTTCAGGGTCAAACCATGGTTTGTGACAAGCAGGACTGATTGAGCTCCACAATAGTGCTCTTGAGTGCTAGAGGAAGTCTAGGAGTCTTGTGTCATCCCATCACTGTGCCTCAGAGCAAAGTTTGAAACTTCCCTTCCCCCTCACAACCGCTTTCACCCTACTATAGAGCCTGGGTAAATTTAACATTGCAGAAGTATTCAAATCTAAGGTGTATTCGTCCCATAGTCACAGTCACCTTCTGTTATGAATTATCCTCTAAATGAAGAGAAGGACTCTACATACAGTGGATCTGCAGTCCTTGGTGTGCAGTGGCTCTGATCCATATTTATTTTCAACAAGTATTAAATGAGTACTTTGCTTGTATCCTACACTGCCTAACATTGTGCAGGGTATTTTAGAGGAACAGAAGAGCATAAGTCATCCTACTCTTGGGGTTTACATTGTCTGGTTGGAGGTATACCCATGACACAAGAAGAAGGTAGGCAGCTGTTGTAGACAGATTGTTGAACCAGGAGCCAAGGGTTCTGGGGTTCTTGGTTACCTCTATCAGTTGCCTGTCTTTTGTGGGAGTAAAAATTTGTGGGCTTAAATTTCTGAGAGGTAATGTTTGGGACTCTTCCTCCTGAACAAGATGTGAGGAGCAAATGAGAGAATACATATCAGTATTTTTATTTATTTATTTATTATTTTAATTTTTTAAATTTTTTATTATTCATTTTAGAGGCAGGTTCTCTGTTGCCCAGGCTGGTGTGCAGTGGCATGGTGATAGCTTGCTGCAGCCTCATACTCCTGGGCTCAAGTGATCCTCCTGCCTCAGCCTCCTGAGTAGCTGGAATTACAGGCATGCACCACCATGCTTGCCTAATTTTTTTACTTTTATTTTTTGTAGAGACAGGGTCTCAAACTCCTGTATGCAAGCAATCCTCTTGCCTCAGCTTCCCAAAGTGCTGAGATTACAGGCATGAGCCACATATCCAGCCCATTATCAGTGTTTTTGAAGCAGGAAAACACTTGATGATAGCAAGATGCTGTAATACTAAATGCCAGAGGAGATGACATGGGTCATACACAGTTTTAGATTTCAGAACAGTAAGTGTAATGGCCTGGGCAGATTAAGAAAAACTTGGAGGATGTGTGTTTTGGACTGGACATTAGAAGAAGATGAATAGAGCTTCGATGTGCAGAGTAAAGATCTTATAGAATGGATAAAAGAGTGATTTGGGCTGGGTGTAGTGGCTCACACCTGTAGTCCTAACACTTTGGAAGGCTGAAATGGGAAGTCTGCAGTGAGCCATGATTATGCCACTGTACTACAGTCTGGGTGACAGAGTGAGACCTCATCTCAAAAAATAAAAAAAAGTAAAAAATAATTTTAAAAGAGTGATTTAAAAAGTAAGCATACTGATACAGGTTCCCAGTCCCTTACCCACAGTTCTAAAATCCCAAATCTCTGAAAGCCAAAACCTTTTTCATTATTTTGTGGGAAATTAATTATAGCATCAAAACCTGAATTTATGTGGTACTGTTTAGAGCCTTTATCCTTCATTATGTAAACATTCATGAATCTCACAGCAGATCTATTAATACTTCATTATAGAATGCTGCCTGTCTAAAACCTGTAATATTCTGAATTCTATGAAACTTGGGGCCCCTGGAATTTTCAGAATAAGGGATGATGAGCGTGTAAGAAAACCTCAATTCAGCGTATCTGCCAGGCACAGTGGCTCATGCCTGAAATCCCATTGCTTTGGGAAGTTGAGGTGGGAGGATTGCTTGAGGCCAAGAGTTCGAGACCATCCTGAGCAACATAGTAAGACCTCATCTCTACAAAAAATTTTTTAAAATTAGGGTGGTAGTGCACACCTATGGTCCCAGCTACTTGGGTGTCTTAGGCGGGAGAATCACCTGAGCCCAGGAGTTTGGGGTTACAATGAACTATGACCACACCACTGCGCTCCAGCCTAGGCAACAGAGCAAGACCCTATCTCTTAAAATCAGTTCATGATGGATATTGTGGCTTCAGATGTGAAAGAAAAGATACGGGGCTAAAATTCTGTATTTTCAGAGTATTCTGGTAACCAGCTAATCCAAGCAGTAATTTTTGAAATGTGAAGTTTAGAATATATTCTAAATAAAATACGTGCAACCTCCAGTGGGAACCTCTTATTATTGGGGAGGTAGTAGAAAGGCGCTGGGTGTTCTAAAATAGGCTCTCCTGGCCCACGGCTGACTGTCTTCCTTGTGTCTCTACAGTGGACGTGACTCTGGACCCAGACACGGCCTACCCCAGCCTGATCCTCTCTGATAATCTGCGGCAAGTGCGGTACAGTTACCTCCAACAGGACCTGCCTGACAACCCCGAGAGGTTCAATCTGTTTCCCTGTGTCTTGGGCTCTCCATGCTTCATCGCCGGGAGACATTATTGGGAGGTAGAGGTGGGAGATAAAGCCAAGTGGACCATAGGTGTCTGTGAAGACTCAGTGTGCAGAAAAGGTGGAGTAACCTCAGCCCCCCAGAATGGATTCTGGGCAGTGTCTTTGTGGTATGGGAAAGAATATTGGGCTCTTACCTCCCCAATGACTGCCCTACCCCTGCGGACCCCGCTCCAGCGGGTGGGGATTTTCTTGGACTATGATGCTGGTGAGGTCTCCTTCTACAACGTGACAGAGAGGTGTCACACCTTCACTTTCTCTCATGCTACCTTTTGTGGGCCTGTCCGGCCCTACTTCAGTCTGAGTTACTCGGGAGGGAAAAGTGCAGCTCCTCTGATCATCTGCCCCATGAGTGGGATAGATGGGTTTTCTGGCCATGTTGGGAATCATGGTCATTCCATGGAGACCTCCCCTTGAGGAGGTGAATTCAGGCCAAAAGGGCTGTTGGCTGTAATCCTACGCCAGGCACAAGGCATCTTGTTGCCTTGCCACGTCCTGTCACAGCTGGGTATCCTTACCATGTTCCACGCCCTTGCAGTGGGAGACAGGATGTCCATGTTCTCTACCATCCTTTTCCTTCCCATGCAGATTGTGAAATGTAATGAGATGTATCAAGATATCCTAGAAATAAAAACCAGATGTCCACCTCCAGTGTTTCATACTTTCTGGTTTTACACATCGCTGGAGGGATAAAGAGTATGGATAATCTTTGGATTTGGAGAGCCGTTCAAGATACTTCCAGCTTCTTGGCTCAGCCTGGCTTCCTCTGGTTCAGCCCCACATAATGATTATGGCTATTTGCTGTCATTTCTGGGCTAGGGCTCCTTTCTAACAACCTAGACTGGAATAAGGCCCTGTCAGCATGGCTCCCTTTATCCCAGTTTTCCGTCTGGGAACAGTACCTCTGCCCCTGATTCCCAATGTGCCATAGTTTTATTAACTCCATTAAAGAAGCCTGTATGTGTTTTGGTTAGTTACAGTTATTTTACAATAATGGTGGGTAATGGCCCCACCTCTGTTATGAGATAATGTTCTAATCAATGTCTCTGCCTTTGTATCTTTTCTGAGGGCTTTGTCTGTTCTCTTCATTCTAATGAAAGGTGTATTCTAGTGCTGGGTGCATATCATCCAGGATAATATTCTGCCCAACTCCATCCTCTGTTACTAGATCCCTTACCAGTCACATTTGTGGACTGGTGGCCAGTCGTATACCATCCCTGGAAGGATTCTGGGACAATATTCCAGGGATTCATTGACTTCTTGGCTCCTTTTCTCCATTTCCTTTGGGGGAAGGGGGAATTGACCATGCTTAAGTGCATCCTATCAAGGGGCAGCTCCGTCCCCATGGCCATTGGATCATGAGACACTCTGAAGTCAGAAGGCTGGGGCAGATCACTTCAAGCAAGCCCCCATGATGGTTCTCAGTCCTGCTTCTCTGTGGGTACGTGCCCCTCTGTTTAAAAATAAACTGAATATGGATGTTTACATTGTTGTTGCTTTCTGGGTGTTGGTAGGATTGGGTTCAGATGTTGGAATGCGTGTGGGGAGGAAATGGTTAATGGTGTTGCTTTCCCATATGGGTGCAAAAATCCCACTCTGGCCAATAGTTTACTTCAAACTGGAAAATAAAACCACTTTCTCAGTGCCATGTCACTACTTTCTAGTGGTGCTAAGAAAGTAGTGTTGGACATTCATAGCCTACAGTTCTTTTTTTTTTGAGGTGGAGTCTTGCTCTGTCGCCCAGTCTAGAGTGCAGTGGCACGATCTCGGCTCACTGCAACCTCTGCCTCCCAGGTTCAAGCGATTTTCCTGCCTCAGCCTCCTGAGTAGCTGGGACTACAGGCGCCTACCACCGCGCCCGGCTAATTTTTTATTTTTAGTAGAGACGGGGTTTCACCATCTTGGCCAGGGTGGTCTTGAACTCCTGACCCTTGTGATCCACCTGCCTTGGCCTCCTAAAGTGCTGGGATTACAGGCGTGAGCAACCGCGCCCGGCCTGCCTACAGTTCTTATATTGGTTAATCCTGTAATTTTACTAGGAAAGTATTTTCTCAAGTCCTTTTTGTAGTATTGTGCCAGGCATTGGGGTTCCATGGCTGAGGTTCATGAGTTGGTGATATCATGTCCTAATTCTTCATTTATTCATCAGGTTTTAAGGGAAATAATAGAACCAGGGCTATAGAAAGTAGCTTCCATGAGGCTAGATTAGCTTTTGCTGAATATTCTGAGATCTAAATGTATACGGTAATATATATACAGGCACATAAATACTACTAACAAACATAGAGCAGTGCTTGGCACATCATATGAAGAGTTTTATGCACAGTAGCTTCCTTAATGCTCATGATAATTTTATCAAGTGTGTACTGTTGTCTTACTTTACAGATAAACTGCAGCAGAGAGGGTAAATGACTTATCCAAGGTACACAGCTAGGAAGCAGCAGAGCCAGGATTCAAACTGAGATGGAACACATGACCACATCAGGTCCTGCCCCACAACATGTGTTATTGGTTATCTTCTAGTTCTTGTGGGTGGTGTGTTTATAGGTATTTATTTATATTTTTAGTTTTAAAAGCCTGCCATTTTGAATGGGATTAAATGAACTTGTGATTCTAAGTTTACTCATCTGCAGAAAGGTAAGCAACTTTTGAGTTCACCGAGTCAGGAATTGAGTCACTAAAGACATATGGGGCCCACTCCGATTCCTTTGACTCCCCTCTCTTTCCTCAGAACATCTGCAATTGTTAATTATACATTACGGTTTCAATAACTTCTTCCTTAATTCTTTTGCTGTTCCAGGAAGTGTGTGTTTGTGCATGCACGTATGTGCACATGCCTGTGTGTCTTCAGGTGCTCTTGTTTTTTCTGATAAAGGCCAACATGCAAAGAAGACCATCTTCCCCAAGAGCAGACAAGGCCTAGAAGAGATAGGTTCAAAGAATAAAGGGAAACTGAACATGGCCCATACCCTCCACCATGTACAATTAAGTGAGAAGATGAGAGAATGCATGTAACAGCCTAACACTTAAAGGCACTATGAAATTAAGAGCAAATAACTGTCAGATGGTAAATGAGAGCCATTTGCTAATTCCTTTAGTTACCTGAGATGCAGACCAAAGAGTATACGTGGAAATCACGTATCTCCTCCCAGCAAAATAAAAAACAAAACTCAAAAGGTTCTTAGCATACCAATGGTGGTTGAGTTGCTTCTTCACAAATGAAAAACATTCTTTTATTCAAATAGACAATTCAGCCAGTGTTGGGTGCCCCAGCTGAACTTGCTCCTGAAGAGAATACAAGAGAGCATGGCTTCTATCCTTTGAAAAGTTAATTAGGAGAGGGGGAAAATAACGTGAAAAAATGTAGAGTACAACTAAAGATGATCTGGGGAGAAGTGAAACTTGTGCTCCAGGAGACCTCATTGCAGACCACAGTAATGTAAGAGGAAGCCTAAATGCCTGGGCTATGTTTCTTAGTGCCCTTTTTCTTGAGACTAAGAGACTTGCCCACTAGCTCCGTCCTGCACTAAATTTTGACTTAATGATATAAGCACATTACTAAATCCTGCACTTTGTTGAAACCAGAAATTCCTCCTATATGAAGTCTGTGAGAGTAATAATAAATCCCAACCAAACCAGCGTTAGAGAAAGGGTCTCACTTTGTCACCAAGGCTGGAATGCAGTGGCAAGATTATTACTCACTGCAGGCTCGAACTCCTGGGCTCAAGGGATTCTTCCTCCTCAACCTCCCAAAGTGTTGGGATTACAGGCATGGGCCACCATGCCAGGCCAAATAGTACTTCCATTTGACAGTATTGCCCCATTACATTTCCTTTTTCCCGTTGGAGAAAAGATACATTTCTTAGATCTGGCTTATCTGTTGAATTAATTTTGCATTTGAAGTTTGAAATGTAAGCAGGACATTTGAAGGTAACCTTTAGAGATACACACATCTCTACCAGATTCTTTGTTTAGAGGATGTGAAGAACTTGGATTTGTATGGGATGTGATTGCCAAACCCATTTTAGGGTTCTGATGCACAAAAAGAATAATAGAAAAAAGTGAGAATTAGAAAGATTTGAACCTACATATTTCTTTAAAAACTGGGAAGAAATATGCCAAAATATTAGCATAGATGCTTTTGATGAGACTTGGTGATTTTTTTTTTTTCTGTATTGAATGAACTCTTCACTATGGAAACCTGTAACCATATACAAAAATGAAGAAAATACACAGCGAACCCTCCTATATCATCTCCCAACTTCAACTACCAATTTATGGTCAGTCTCATTTGAATACAGCATCATCTCAATTTCCACCCCAATCTCTGTTACTCTCACGTAATCCTGGACATACCAGAAAACCAAGTTATATGAACCTCAAACAAAACAGTCAAGGGACTCATTTCAAGGTTGGAAATTAAATCCTGTTTTTTTGTTTTGTTTATTTCATTTTCATAGACCGCCATTGTTAGCTTCTTTCCTTTTTAGTCCCTCTGCTTCCCTCTTTAAATAATTTGTCAGGCCTTTTAAAATTCCTCTTACAGATGTTTTCATAAAAATGTAGAATGGCCTGTGGGGAGTCTTATTGTGCAATAAATATTATTAGTAAATAGTTAAAATATTGACATATTTAATTATATTTTACCTTATTCCAAAAAGGACTTAAAGCCATTTAAAACATAAAATCATGTCTGGGCTCGGTGGCTCACACCAGCACTTTGGAAGGCTGAGGCGGGCGGATCACCTGAGGTCAGGAGTTCAAGACCAGCCTGGCCAACATGGTGAAACCCCATCTCTACTAAAAATACAAAAATTAGCCAGGTGTGGTGGTGCATTTCTGTAATCCCGACTCGGGAGGCTGAGACAGGAGAATTGCTGGAACCCAGGAGGCGGAGGTTGCAGTGAGCCAAGATTGCACCACTGCACTCCAGCCTGGGCAGCAGAGCAAGACTCCATCTCAAAAAAAACCAAAACAAACCCATAAAATCAAGACATCAGGAGTTTAACATGCCATAAAGGAAGAAAGAAAAAATACGGCACAGCCGGGCGCGGTGGCTCACGCCTGTAATCCCAGCACCTTGGGAGGCCCAGGCACGCAGATTACGAGGTCAGGAGTTCAAGACCAGCCTGGCCAACATAGTGAAAAACCCCATTTCTACTAAAAATACAAAAATTAACTGGGCATGGTGGCACGAGCCTGTAGTCCCAGCTACTTGGGAGGCTGAGGCAGGAAAATTGCTTGAACCTGGGAGGCAGAGCTTGAAGCAAGCCGAGATTGCGCCACTGCACACCAACCCGGGTGACAGTGCGAGACTCCGTCTCATTAAAAAAAAAGATGGCACAAAAAATGACCAGGATTAGAAGTGAATCTATAGTATGAAAACTACGAGGACACTAAATGTGGGCCACAGTTGGGTTTTAAAAATTGACATGGGAACATTGTTAATTGTATAGCTTCTAGTTTCTGTAAGATGGAAGTAACTAAATGTTTAAGGGACATAATGGGATTCTTGTTAATAAGAGATAGGAATTTCTGCTTGGGTTCTTGGTAAATAGAAACTGTATCCCAAGAGTTTACTTTTCATAAAATAAGTCTTACAAATCAATAAGGAAAGATGGACACCTCATAAAAATTTGGTAAGCAATTTACTGAGGAAGGAGTATAAAAATCCTTTAAACATGAATATTGGACCTCACTAATAATCAAATCAGAAAAAAAAGGGGGGGCGCTATATCATTTGTTACCTATTAAAATGTGCCAGGAGCGGTGGGTCACGCCTGTAATCCCAGCACTTTGGGAGGCCGAGGCGGGCACATCATTTGAGGTCAGGAGTTTGAGACCAGCCTGACCAACATGGTGAAACCCTGTTTCTACTAAAAATACAAAAAAAAATTAGCTGAGTGTGATGGCTCATGCGTGTAGTTCCAGCTACTCGGGAGGCTGAGACGAGAATCACTTGAACCTGGGAGATAGGTTGCTGTGAGCTAAGATCATGCCACTGCACTCCAGCCTGGGCAACAGAGCAAAACTCCGTCAAAACAAACAAACAAAAACTGGATAAACATTGATGTAGGCCGGGCGCGGTGGCTCACGCCTGTAATCCCAGCACTTTGGGAGGCTGAGGCGGGCGGATCAAGAGGTCAGGAGTTCGAGACCAGCCTGACCAACATAGTGAAACCCCGTCTCTACTAAAAATACAAAAATTAGCCGGGCGTCGTGACGGGCGCCTATAGTCCCAGCTACTCGGGAGGCTGAGGCAAGAGAATGGTGTGAACCCGAGAGGTGGAAGTTGCAGTGAGCCAAGTCGTGCTACTGCACTCCACCCTGGGTGACAGAGCGAGACTCCGTCTCAAAAAAAAAAAAAAAAAAAAAAAATTTGATGTAATGGTTTCACTTTTAGAAATTTAAGGAAATAATCGTGGATGTTTGAAAATATTTATGTAAGGATAGTTTTTACAGCATTGCTGATGAAAATAAAAAATTAGAAATAATCCAGTTTTCAAGAATACCACTTTGATATGGAATATGTGCAGGAATTAAGATTTATGCAAAATATAGTACTTAGCAAGTATATATTCATAATATATTCATTTAGAAAGCAAGTTAGCAAATTATTTACTACACATGACCATTTTTGGAAAATGTATACCATATGAAAGACTAAATATATAAAAATGTTAATAGTTACCTCTGACTAGTGAGATTATGGATGATTTTAATTTTTGACATGTTTGTATGTTCTACAAT
The DNA here is from genome assembly GCF_000001405.40 of Homo sapiens. NCBI lineage: Eukaryota > Metazoa > Chordata > Mammalia > Primates > Hominidae > Homo > Homo sapiens. The sequence continues at coordinate 163,320 of NT_167244.2, read as the reverse complement.
TTGTGTGTACTTTGCAATTAGAAAAAAATAATTATAGTTAGGGTAAGATTACAGTTGCCATGTTGGGAATCACTTCCTGGACAATTTCCTTCCAATCGAAAGAAAATATACAAATCTCATGTATTGGAGGGAGACTGGGGAACCAGTGTTCACTGTACTTCTCACTACTAATTTTCTCTCTATCAAAAATAGGATATGAAACCAAGGAAGTCTGTGGAAATTAAGATAGAGCCTACTGAAACTCAGTTATTTCTCCATGCAGAAAAGAGACCTAACTTTGCCTTACAAAAAGGAAATTTTTTTTATATTAACAAATACAAAAAGTAAGCTATTAGGACAAAATCTAATTAAAATATCCAACTTTATATTTCCTCTATCTGAACCTCACAGCCCCAAATACAAGAGTTAAGACGGTTGAGTTAAAATGTATTTATTGAACCTCTACCGTGTTTGCCAGGCACTGTTACCTGGACGGCATTGGTCTACACATGTTATTTTAGCGGTGTCGCTGGCCTCTAGGGGCTCTTGTTCTAGTGGGAGGGATGATTTCTGTTTAGTTTCAGGGCTCCATTAAAATTTGTGACCTTGGGGCTTCCCGGCCTGGAGCTCAGATTGCTTGGCGAAGGCTGAGAAACAGAAAAGTGGATCAGGCGATGTGGTGCACTCCCCTTAAAAACTACCGCTGTGTTCCCCGACCTGGCAGTGGTCACTTGGAGCCCATTAATCGGGAACATCCGAGAGCGACAAGGAAGGCCGCGGGCGAGCGCGTCGCTCGCGGAGTTTCCCCGGACCTGGGATCGCCGATCCCTCGGCGCGGACACCAGCCTTGCCCATGTGGTGGTCCCTGTGGAGACCTTCCCAGCCGTTCCCGGCTACCACTTTTAGAGCCCAAGACAAACTTCGACGAGTGGCAAGGCAGTGACAAATGGAACCAAAATAGAGGGGCTAAAAGGGGACCTTCCTATAGAACCGGGGTCTTTTGTTAGGGTTTTGTTTTGTTCCTCACCATCTTCCAAACAATGAAGTCCTGGGGGAGGCTAACCACGATCAAGATTTCAGTAAACATCAGACACTGGAGAGCCGACCCAGCGACCGAAGAAGCAAAAGATCTTCTTTCCTTCCTGAAATCTGGGCAGGCTGGGAGCAAAAAAAAAAAAAAAAAAAACCCGCACACGTTTTTCGAGATGGCGATAACAGTTATAAGGCCCGTAAGAGACTTGATCCAGTTTTATGCAGAAACATTTTCTAGTCCTGCGAACCCTTTTGCTTTTTCAATCCACAAGTGGCTTTCTGCCCTTCTGTTACCAAGCAACCCTGACGTCATCGCGTTTCTGCGTGCGTGCACGACACAGAATCATTGCTTGTTGATCTCTATTTTAGTGCAAAAATCAGGGCTGTTATGCAGTGTGTCAGGATGGCCGAGTGGTCTAAGGCGCCAGACTCAAGCTAAGCTTCCTCCGCGGTGGGGATTCTGGTCTCCAATGGAGGCGTGGGTTCGAATCCCACTTCTGACACATACTTTTCTTTTTCCTCTCCTTACTTTAGAGATATCCTGATCTCAGCAGTAGGCATAAACAATTACCAACGTATATTTTTAAGAATCGGCTTTTAGGTACCGGGCGCGGTGGCTCACGCCTGTAATCCTAGCACTTTGGGAGGCCGAGACGGGTGGATCACGAGGTCAGGAGATCGAGACCATTCTGGCTAACACGGTGAAACCTCGTCTCTACTAAAAATACAAAAAAAATAGCTGGGCGTGGTGGCGGGCGCCTGTAGTCCCAGCTACTCGGGAATGAGGCAGGAGAATGGCGTGAACCCGGGAGGCGGAGCGTGCAGTGAGCCAAGATCGCGCCACTGCACTCCAGCCTGGGGACAGAGCGACACTCCGTCTCAAAAAAAAAAAAAAAAAAAAAGAATTGGCTTTTAAATTTATCTCAAAGGGCTTGTCCAAACTAAAAACATTAAAAGCGGAAGCATCGCGATATTTTTACGAAGCCGCGAGATTTGGGCCAAAAAACGCCTAATTAAAGGCAGAGGTTACTAGCGATTGGTCTCTGTGCTGCAGTGCGAGATAATCCTGATGTCGCGGGATTCGGAACGCAGATAGCTTCCTGCCTCGCCGAGGGAATGGAGAGAAGGGGCTCTGGGCGGGTTCTTTTCCCGCTTCTCGACCAGGCTCACACTCTGTGTCTCAGATCCAAGCCCTCCCCTAGATATTTCCTGGAGCACTTTCCTACCAATCTCACAACGCTGTGGCTCGTGACAGTGCAGTCTCTTTAAAAATCTTACACAGGTCCTCTGCTCTCCTATTTTCAAAACTCATGTAACCAGTTCTCAAAAATGTCTTTCGTAAATTATGCACATTCACACTCGTTTTGGCATCTGATCATTACCGTTTTGTCAGTCAAAATTGAGTACCATTTTAACCATTGAATGAAATATGAAAGCTGTACGTTCCTCTCGCAAATGTAATCACCGTGAAAAATTTATTGTATTTTTTACATTTCTTTTTTCTCTGCATTCGCATATATATATAACATTTTGTTTTTTTTTTTTAACAGAAATGTAGTCATGCTATGACATTTTTCACTTAATATATCTTGGGTTCTTTCCATGTGGAACACTTATTCTTTTCTTTTACAGAAGAAATATTGCTGGCCGGGTGCAGTGGCTCAGGCCTGTAATCCCAGCACTTTGGGAGGCCGAGGCGGGCGGATCACGAGGTCAGGAGATTGAGACCATCTTGGCTAACACAGTGAAACCCCGTCTCTACTAAAAATATTAAAAAATACAAAAAATTAGCCGGGTGTGGTGGTGGGTGCTTGTAGTCCCAGCTACTCGGGAGGCTGAGGTAGAAGAATCGCCTAAACCCGGGAGGCGGAGCTTGCAGTGAGCCCACATTGCCCGCTGCACTCCAGCCTGGGCAACAGAGTGAGACTCCGTCTCAAAAAAAATAATTAATAAATAAATAAATAAATAAATAAATAAATAAATAAATAAAACCCTATGGTAGGCCCGGAGTGGTGGCTCACGCCTGTAATCCCAGCACTTTGGGAGGCCGAGGCAGGTGGATCACTTGAGGTCAGGAGTTCGAGACCAGCCTGGCCAACATGGTGAAACCCTGTCTCTACTAAAAACACAAAAATTAGCTGAGTGTGGTGGCAGATGCCTGTAATCCCAGCTACTCAGGAGGCTGAGGCAGGAAAATCACTTGAACCCGGGAGGTGGAGGTTGCAGTGAGCCAAGATTGCACCACTGCACTCCAGCCTGGGCAACAGAGTGAGACTCTGTCACAGGAAAAAACAAAAAACAAAAAAACAAAAACACAAAAACCGTATGGTAAAATTTAAATTTTAAGGTGGTACTTTAGAACACTAGTGTTCCATCTTCTCAGTTTGCTGGCTTTCGGATTAAAAGCAGCTTTTCCTCCCACCAAACCTCCCCTCTAGCATTTGGCTTTGGAGCGGTGAGCAGCAGAATCTGGGTCAGGTTACGCTTTTTTCTCTTCAGTCCCATTAACTCTGGAATCCTAGGTGCCCTCTGCATACTTGGACTCCAAAAACCACTTTCTCCAACAAGAAAACAAAGTAAACTGCAGATTATATAATAGGAGATTTTAAATTCATTTCAAAATTCACTATGGAAGATATGGTTTCTCATCTGGAATCCATCCTGCTTGTCTGGATTTACCTTACTTCTCCCTGCATTGCTCACATTTCTGATTCTTTCATGGAACAGAGTACGTTATCCTCTAAAAGCTTTCACCAAACTGATGGAATTTTCTATTTCTCGCCCCCTACCCCCACCTACTGCTTTTCAAAGTAAAATGGCATTTATCTGTAAGGCGGGATGAAGTTAATATCTGTTAAACCCCCATTTATTTCCAGAAGCTTCCAAAGTCAGCCCAACCTCCCAAGGTTACTTAGCTCTCTAATAAAACAAAAGGTGAACTCCCTGAAAGAATTCTCCTGCAGAATTCTATTATAGCGTTAGAGGAAAAAGCACTGCCACTGTGTAAAATTGTGTAGATTTGGGGTAAAAGGCCAAGGTACTTTCCAGTTTCAATTTTCTTGACTGTCCTGCTGGGCACGGTGGTTTACACCTATAATCCCAGCACTTGGGTGAGGCTGAGGAGGGAGGATCACATGAGGCGAGGAGTTCAAGACCAGCCTGGGCTTGTCTCCAACCCCTCATCCCAACCCCGCCCCCACCCCCACAAATGCTCAACTGCAGTTGAACTGAATTAAATTGCGTTTCTTTCCTTCCTTCCTTCCTTCTTTCCTTCCTTTCTTCCTTCTTTCTCTCTCTCTTTCCCTCCCTTCCTTCTCTCCTTTCTTCCTTCTGTCTCTCTTTCTCTCTCTCTCTCTCTCTCTTTCTTTCTTGAGACAGAGTCTTGCTGTATCACCCAGGCTAAAGTTCAATGGCGCTGTCTTGGCTCACTGCAACCACTGCCTCGCAGGTTCAAAGGATTCTCCTGCCTCAGACTCCCGAGTAGCTGGGACTACAAGCGTGCACCACCACACCTGGCTAATTTTTATATTTTTTAGTAGAGACAGGGTTTCACCATGTTGACGAGGCTGGTCTCGAACTCCTGACCTTGAGTGATTCGCCCACCTCAGCCTCCCAAAGTGGTGATCCTGGGTTTTAAGCAGAATAGGGGACATACCACTACCCACTTATCGAATGTATTCTAAATAAGTTTTCTTATCCTAAATTTTTTTATATTCCAATACTGGAAACTTTTATTTACAGAAGCCATGTATTCTATACTCTATATGTAGAATACATGGTTCATTAAGGCCAAGATAATTTCCCATTTTGTGTATATCATTACTTATACTACTCATTAAAATAATCTTCAGTGCGGAGAGATTATCTCTTTTCCTCTGCTAAAGACACAATAATCTTTCATTCAGACAAATAAGACATTACATAAGACCTACCTAGTTACATAAAAACAAAGTAACTACACTAGTACTCCTGTCTGTTAAAGGACTATCAGATAAGTCACTGCGGTTATCTGTACATAACAATGCACAATCATCCTAATAATTACTAGTGAATGCCTTTTCTAGATAGAAGAAGCTGAAGATATAAAATCTAAATCTAAATTCGAATGTTAACTTTTGTCTCAACTGACAGAATACCGTACATTGACCAAATAAAGGATTTTATTGAATCACTAAATTTTTACCAGCTTTATTGAGATATAATTTACACACCATTCAATTCAATTCAATCACTTTTAGAATATTCAGAGTTGTGCAAACATTATCACCATCAGTGTTAGAACATTTTTATCACCTCAAGGTAAAAAAAAATACTCCTTAGCAGTCACTCCCCATCTCTCAGCCTCCCCCAACCTGCAGGCAACCGACAATCTATTTTCTATAATTTTTTTTCTTTTCCTTCCTTCCTTCCTTCCTTCCTTCCTTTTTATACAGGGTCTCACTCTGTCACTCAGGCTGGAGTGCAGTAGCACAATCATAGCTCACTGCAGCCTTGACCACCCTGGACTCAGGCGATTCCAATATTGGAATATAAAATATTTTAGGATAAGAAAACTTATTTAGAATATGTTCAATAAGTGGGTAGTGGTATGTCCTCTATTCTGGTTAAAACCCAGGATCACCACTTTGGGAGGCTGAGGTGGGCGAATCACTTGAGCTCAGGAGTTCGAGACCAGCCTGGCCAACATGGTGAAACCCTGTCTCTACCAGAAAATACAAAAATTAGCTGGGTGTGGCGGTGCGTGCCTGTAGTCCCAGCTACTCGAGGGGGCGAAGGTGGGAGAATCACTTAAACCCGGGAGGTGTAAGTTGCTGTGAGCCGAGATCACACCAGTGCACTCCAGCCTAGGCAACAGAGACCTTTTGTCTAAATCAATCAATCAATCAATCAATCAATCAATCCCAGGAGTGCAGTGGCGCGATCTCGGCTTTCTGCAACCTCTGCCTCCCCGGTTCAAACGATTCTCCTGCCTAAGTCTTCCGAGTAGCTGGGAGGCCCGTGCCACCACGCCCGGCTAATTTTTGTATTTTTAGTAGAGACGGGTTTTCACAATGTTGGCCAGGCCTGTCTTGAGCTCCTGACCGCAAGAGATTTGTCTGCCTTGGCCTCCAAAGGGCTGGGATTACAGGCGTGAGCCACCGTGCCCGGCCAGTCTTGTCCATTTTCTCCTTGAAGACCATCTTTCACACTGTCACTATAGTGACTTGCATAAAACTGAAAGCTAATATTACACACACCTTCTTTTTTTTTTTTGAGACGGATTCTCGCTCTGTCACCAGGCTGGAGTGCAGTGAGGCGATCTCGGCTCACTGCAAGCTCCGCCTCCTGGGTTCACGCCATTCTCCTGCCTCAGCCTCCTGAGTAGCTGGGACTACAGGCGCCTGCCACCACGCCCGGCTAATTTTTTGTATTTTTAGTAGAGACAGGGTTTCACTGTGTTAGCCAGGATGGTCTAGATCTCCTGACCTCGTGATCCACCAGCGTCAGCCTCCCAAAGTGGTGGGATTACAGGCGTGAGCCACCGTGCCTGGCCTACACACATTCTTAGCATCTGTTAATGGTTCAATTCATTATCCTGGCAACAAGACTGTTCATGATGTAGCTTACATTTTCAGCTTTATCTCCTTTCGCCTTCATATTCAATCTGTGTTCCAGCTAGACCAAACTGTTCTCAACTGTCTGAAAGTACCATTTTAAAAGTGCCTTAATAACTTTGTATGTATATACTTTCCATCTAGAAAGCTTTTACTGCCTTCCCTTTTTCTGACTATTTGTATTTATGTTTTAAGATACGCCAATCAACCATTCCGCTGCAAAACTTTCTGTTTGATTCTCTCAGGCAGTTAGATGTTTCCTTCTTTGCACTCCCAAAGCTCTTATGCTTCACTCTTATAGTATTTACCACACTGCCTTGTAACTGAAGGACATCTCTAGGTTGTGGCCTTCAAGAGGGCATCTTATTCGTCTTTATACCAGGTATATAGCAAGGAACTACTATACACAAGACTTGCTACAAAGCTACTTACATGACATTTTAATAACCAAGAAAGAATTTGTAGAAATAGCAAGTAACATTTCTTAATCCTTTTCAATTTAAGATAAGCAACATGTTGGGATACTGAGATGTGACAACAATGGTAACAATAGCAACTCACACTTAATAATGCTTACAGTGTGTCAGACACAGTTTTGTGTGCTTTCATAACCCTTTGAGGTTGCAACTGTTGTCCATGTTTTGTAGGCAAAGATACAGATGCACAAAGTTATGTGACTTGCCTAAGGTCATATAGCCAACAAGATAGGAAACACTGAAACTAGAGTTTAGTGTGAATTTGTTTGTGTTCAAATCCTTCATTTACAGCTAAATTTGCAAATCTGTTGAAGGAAAGGGAAATAGAACTTACTGCTCTTATTTAGCAGTGAAATTTAAATAATTTTTTGTTGTTTTATTTCAGAAGGTGAGTGTAGGTTTATTTATTATTTTTGAGACAGAGTCTTGCTCTGTTGCACAGGCTGGAGTGCAATAGCACAATCACTGCAGCCTTGACCTCTTGGTTCAAGCAATCCTCCCATCTCAGCCTCCTGAGTAGCTGGGACTACAGGTACACACCACCATGAGCAGCTTTTTTTTTTTTTTTTTTTTTTTTTTTTAGAGATGGGGTCTCATGATGTTGCCTAGCTTGGTCTCAAACTCCTGGGTTCAAGTGATCCTCCTACCTCAGCCTCCCAAAATGCTGGGATTACAGGTATGAGCCACCATGCCTGGACTGAGTATAGGTTTAGAAAGCTAAGCATGACTTCAGGGTTCCAAAAAGTACTGAAGAAGTAGCATCTCACTCACTGTTCCTGGGAAGATGGAAAAGTGATGATCCCTTAAATCCTGCAATTGAAAACATTTGTGACCCTGAGGGCAGGTATGAGAGGCACTAAGAAAATCCTTTGTTGGTGAGACAGAGAACATTTTCACCCCAGGAAAAAGAGATCATAGAGAAGTCATGAAAACTGTACTGAACAAAATACTTATGGGAAAGAGGGGTTGTAAAAGTGATGAATGTAGACAGTTCTTCACTAAGAAATCAAATCTTATTCAACAGCAAAGGATCCACACTGAAGAGAGACCCTGTAAATACAAAGTTTGTGGCAAGCCTTCAGTGGGAACACTAGCCTCTATCTCCAGAAGATCCACACTGGGGAGAACCCTTATAAGTGTGATGAGCATAGAAGGGCCTTCACTGTGAAAGCCTGCATTATAGAAGCTGTATTTTCACAGACACTATGAATGTGATCAGTGTGGCAAGACTTTCATTTGGAGCTCAGATCTTAGTAAACATCAGAGGCTTCATACTGGAGGGAAATCCACAAGCGTAATGTATGCAATAAGACCTTCAGAATTCTGACCATCTCAAACATCAGAGAATACATACTGGAGAGAAACCCTACAAATATCTTATGCATGGGAAAGCTTTTAATCAGAGCCCACTCTTTCTTAAGCATCATAGAGTACACACTGAGAGAAACCTTATCACTTTAAGGAATGTGGAGAAAGCTTTAGTCACAATGGAGGCCTGACATCGTATGAGAGACTGCACACAAGAGAGAAGTCTTATAAAAGTAAAGTATTTGGGGAAGTCTGCATTGAGAGCTCACACTTCATTAACTATCCCAACATTCATACAGGGGAAAGACTTCCTCATTGCCCTGAATATGGAAAATGCTTTACTCAAAATGAAGGTCTTATTTCCCATCAGAACCTTTTTAGACATTAAAAAGAAAACCCATATCAGAGAAAAAAGATATATACCTCTGATGAATGTGTGTAAAACTTTGTGTTTCTCTAGTAATTGACCTTTAGAGAGTAGATATAGAAGGGAAATATTTTGAATATAACAATTTTGAAATGTTTGAATGGCAGCTTCTTGCCTCACTTAACTTTAGTAAATTTGTCAAGAGCATGCCCAGGAAATGGGTTGGCTAGAACTTGTTTTAGCAGAAATAAATGTGTTTTCAGTCATTATCCTCCTTAAGGAAAGGGTCAGTCTCACCCAGTGACCAGTTCTAAGTTCCCGACTCTTAGATGGGAAATGAAGAGTATTTTGTGTGAGCCTGTAGATGTTTGAAAACTTTGATATTCAGAGGGTAGGCGAAATGGTCACTCACTCCTGAGACTTCCTTTGTGAAAACAGAGCTTTGTAATATTTGTGATTCCCTGCTCTCTCTTTCAGGAAAAGATGCTCACTATATCCAATAAAGCTTATAAAATACTGGGTATCAGTTGAAAGGTATTAAGACATCAATTGTCGGCTGGGTGCAGTGGTTCACACCTGTAATCACAGCATTTTGAGAGGCTGAGGCAGGAGGATCACTTGAGTCGAAGAGTTCGAGACCAGCCTGGGCAACATAGTGAGACCCTTGTCTCTACAAAAAATAAATTAGCTAGGCGTGGTGGTGCAGGCCTGTAATCCTGGCTACTTGGGAGGCTGAGGTGGGAGAATCACTTGAGCCCAGGAGGAATAGGTTGCAGTGAGCTGTGTTCATGCCACTGCACTCCAGCCTGGGCAACAGAGTGAGACCCCTCCTCAAAAAACTAAAACTAAAACTAAAATAAAAATTAAAAAAGAAATAAATTGTTTTCTTGTCTCTGTTCAAAACCTGGACCACTATGTGTAGTCCTATTCCCAGACTGTCACACAGATCTAGTGATGTTGGTACAAATTGAGAGAAAGGGAACCAGATGGTTCTTCCTCATCTTTGTATGCATGTAGCTGGCATAGTGATTGGCATTTGCATTCCATAAATGTTTATTGAAATGAGTTAAATTAAAATAAATAGAATTAAATCCTGGACTTATATAGTGTACTTGCTGAAATTCAGTTTTAAGAAGTGGCATAAAGTGAAAACAAAAGTATTTTAAACTTATGTAGAAATATTGACGAGATGGCTAAAATGGAAATCTCTGATCTTTTGAAGATGTATATGTAATTCATGAGTTGATATGTAGGAGGGCATTGCTTCCTCCCACAGCTTCAGAATCATACAGTAATAGACTGGGGGGATCATAGGCCTGACCAAGTGGGACTATTGTTAAGTTATGCTCTTAAATAAAGAAAAAAAAAGTAACATCAGTTCTTTAAGTACTTTGTTCTAACAATGTAATTATTGTGTTCTGTCTAAAACTATGATACAGTGTTAAACTTCTCAAGGTTTCCTTTGTCTACGAGCTACAGTCCAGTGTTGTTCCCCGTCTTTTTGTGACATGGCCTGTCTTCACTTACTGTGGAAACAAACTAACATATGCTTCTTTTTTATTTATTTATTTATTTTGCGACGGAGTTTCGCTCTGTCACCCAGGCTGGAGTGCAGTGGTGCGATCTCGGCTCACTGCAAGCTCCGCCCCTCCAGGTTTAAGCAATTCTCCGCCTCTGGAGTAGCTGGGATTACAGGCGCGTGCCACCATGCCAGGCTAATTTTTTGTATTTTTAGTAGAGACGGGGTTTCACCATCTTGGCCAGGCTGGTCTTGAACTCCTGACCTCGTGATCCACCTGCCTCAGCCTCTAAGTGCTGGGATTACAGGCGTGAGCCACCGCGCCTGGCCTGCTTCTTTTAAAAGGAAACTCTGAGATAAAAAATACGAAGTTCTCTTCAAAAAAGCAATCAGCTTTTCATTAAAGGGAAACTATGGAGTACAACACTTGAGTTTTTTTTTTTTTTTTTTTTTGAGATGGAGTCTCACTGTTGCCCAGGCTGGAGTGCAATGGCGAGATTTCAGCTCATTGCAACCTTCCCCTCCCTGCCTCAGTCTCCCAAGCAGCTGGGACTGGGACTACAGGCGCCCACCACTACACCCAGTTAATTTTTTTATTTTTAGTAGAGATGGGGTTTCACCGTGTTAGCCAGGATAGTCATGATCTCCTGGCCCCGTGATCCACCCGCCTCGGCCTCCTAAAGTGCTGGGATTACAGGTGTTAGCTACCGTGCCTGGCCCCACTTGAGCCTTAAAATACTTTATTTGGGCACTGAATAAAATTTATCTGTGCTAATTCTTTACCTGTACTAACACGCAGTAGTCTTTAGCCAGGGCATTGCTACCTACTACGATGTATTTGGGTACACTTATGGTTCTCACAATGACCAGGTTATGGCATGTTCATTTTTATGGGTGGGGTTCAGGCATTATAAACATTATAGTATACATATATGTTGTAGTATGTAGCATAAATACAACAGGTACAACTATTAGAAATCTCCACGCATCCAGGAACCGTGGCTCAACACCTGTGATCCTAATGTGCCAAGGAATTGGTGGGTTCTTGATCTCACTGACTTCAAGAATGAAGCCATGGACCCTGGCCGTGAGTGTGGCAGTTCTGAAGAGCAGTGTGTGGGGAATTTGTTCATTCTGATGTTTGCATATGTTCAGAGTTTCATTCCATTCAGGTGGGTTCGTGGTTTCGCTGACTCGGGAAAGCTACCAATCTTGGCAGTAACTGTTACAGCTCTTAAGACGGTGTGTCTGGAGTCATTGGTTCCTCTCAGTGAGTTTATGGTCTCCTTGGCTTCAGGAATGAAACTGCAGACTTTCACAGCAATTATCACAGCCCACAAAGGCAATGCGCATGCAAAAACCGAGCAGCAGCAGGAATCATTGCAAACAGCAAAAAAAACAAACCTTCCACAATGTGGAGAAAGCATTAACCAAACAGCCACCACCGTTCAGGCAGCCTGCTTTTATACTCTTATCTGGCCCCACCCACATCCTGCTGATTGGTCCATTTTACAGAGAGCTGATTGGTCCGTTTTGGCAGGGTACTGATTGGTGCGTTTACAATCCCTGAGCGAGACGCAGAAGTTCTCCAAGTCCCCACTAGATTAGCTAGATACAGAGTGTGATTGGTGTATTTACAAACCCTGAGCTAGACGCAAAGTGTATTTACAAACCTTGAGCTAAATACAGGGTACTGACTGGTGTATTTACAATCCCTTAGCTAGACATAAACATTCTCCAAGTCCCCACCAGGTTAACTAGTTACAGAGTGCTGACTGGTGCATTCATAAACCCTGAACTAGACACAAGGTGCTGATTGGTGTGTTTACAAACCTTGAGCTAGATACAGAGTGCTGATTAGGTGCATTCACAAACCCTTAGCTACAAGACATAAAGATTCTCCAAGTCCCCACCAGGTTAGCTAGATACAGAGTGCCGATTGGTGTATTCACACTCCTTACCTAAAGATTCTCCAAGTCCCCACCAGGTTAGCTAGATAGAGTGCTGATTGGTGCATCCACAAACCATGAGCTAGTGCGGATTGGTGTCTTGAGCGCGGGTAGTGAGGAGCTTATCATCTGGGCCAGCAGCTGCGGAGGGGGCGCCAGGTCCCCCAGCACTGCCCGTCCGCCCGCGCTGCGGTCGAATTCTCGCCGGGCCTCAGCCGCCTCCTCATGGGGCAGGGCACGGGACCTGCAGTTCGCCATGCCCCAGCCCGCCCCCGACCCTCCCACCCGTGGGCTCCCTTGCGGTCCAAGTCTCCCTGATGGGCGCCGCCCCCTGCTCCGCGGCGCCCGGTCCCATCGACCGCCCAAGGGCTGAGGAGTGCAGGTGCGTGGCACGGGACTGGCGGGCAGCTCCGCCCGTGGCCCCAGTGCGGGATCCACTAGGCAAAGCCAGCTGGGCTCTTGAGGCGGGTGCGGACTTGGACAACTTTTATGGCTAGCTAGAGGATTGTATATGTGCCAGTCAGCACTCTGTGTCTAGCTCTGGGTTTGTGGATACACCAATCAGCACTCTGAATCTAGCAACTCTAGTGGGGACCTTTATGTCTAGCTAAAGGATTGTAAATGCACCAATCAGCACTCTGTGTCTAGCTCAGGGACTGTAAACACACCAATCAGCACCCTGTCAAAACAGACTAATCAGTTCTTTGTAAAACAGACCAATCAGCTCTCTGTAAAATGGACCAATCAGCAGAATGTGGGTGGGGCCAGATAAGGCAATAAAAGCAGGCTGCGCGGAGCAGCCACGATAACCTACTCGGAGTCGATCTCTCTGTTGTGGAAACCTTGTTCTTTATGTTCTTTGTAATAAATTTTACTGCTGCTTGCTTTTTGAGGTTTGTATTTCCTGTGTGAGCTGTAACACTTACTGTGAAGATTTGCGGTTTCACTCCTGAGACCGGCAAGAACCATGAGCGCATCAGGAGAAATGAACAACTTCAGACATACCATCTTAAGAGTTGCAACACTTACGCTGAAGGTCTGCATGTTTCGCTCCTTGTAAGCCAGCCAGACCAGGAACCCACCAGCGGGAAGAAACTCAGAACATGGGTGAACATCAGAAAGAACAAACTCCAGCCACACTGTCTTTAAAAAATAACATCACGAGGGTCTGCAGCTTCATGTTTGAAGTCAGTGAAACCAAGAACCCACCAATTCTGGACACCAGGCTGAGGCAGAAAAATTATTTGAACCTGGAGGTAGAGGCTGCAGTGAGCTTAGATCATGCCACTGCATTCCAGCCTGGGTGACAGCTCCATCTGAAAGACAACAAATAGATGATAAATGGAATTTAATCAAAAGAAACTTTTGTGCATCAAAGGACATTAGGCAGTGTTAAAAGAGCACATAGAATTGGTGAAAATGTCTTGGAAATTACATGTTTGATAAGGGTCTAACATCCAGATATATCCAAAAAAACAAAAACCAAACCTTAGAACTGAAAATCAACAAGGCAACTCAGTTTAAATGCACAAAGAACTCAAATAGACACCTCTCCAAACAAAATATGTAAATAGGCAATAAGCACTTGGAAAGTACTCTGTCTTTATTCACTAGGGGAAATGCAAATCAAAACCAAAGTAGGGTACCATTTCAAACTTTCTTGGATGGCTATAATCAGGAAAATGGCCAATGAAAAAGTGTTGGTGAAGATGTGGATAAACTGGAACTTTCATGCATTGTTGGTGAGAATGTAAAATGATAAAGCCACTGTGGAAACCGGTTTGGTGGTTCCCTTAAAAAGCTAAACATGGGTGTAGCATATGACTTAGCAATTCTAGGTGTATACCCAAAAGAATTGAAAGCAGAGACTCAAACAGATCCTTGTAATCCAATGTTCTTTGCAGCATCATTCATAATAGCTAAAAGGAGAATCCAGCCATCAACAGATGAGCAGATAAGCAAAATAACAAAAATAAAACTGCGTAAGCAGAATAGGCATCAAAATATAAGAAATTTTAAAAAATGAATATACATACAATATGGGATATATGCTGGTATATGCTGTGAGATGGATGAAACTTGAAAACATTTTGCTTAGTGATGAAATAGGCTAGGTATGAAAGGACACAAGTACTGTATAACTCCACTTATATGAAATATCTAGAATAGGCGATTTCAAAAAGACAAAAGGTGAGGGGCTGAGGCTCATGCCTGTAATCCAAGGACTTTGGGAAGTCAAGGCGGGAGGATTGCTTGAGACCAGGAGTTCAAAACCAGCTTGAGTAACATGGTGAGTCCATGCTGCCCCCCACATCTCTACAAAAAATTAAAAATTAGCCAGGTGTTGTGACACATGACTGTAGTTTAAGTTACACGGGAGGCTGAGGCAGGAGGATTCTTTGAGCCCAGGAGTTCAAGACTGCAGTGAGAATGAGACCCTGTCTCTTTAAAATGCCAAAACAAGGGCTGGGTGCGGTGGCTCACGCCTGTAATCCCAGCACTTTGGGAGGCCGAGGCGGGTGGATCACGAGGTCAGGAGATGGAGACCATCCTGGCTAACACAGTGAAACCCCGTCTCTACTAAAAGTAGAAAAAATTAGCTGGGCGTGGTGGCATGCGCCTGTACTCGCAGCTACTCGGGAGACTGAGGCAGGAGAATCGCTTGAACCCGGGAGGCAGAGGTTGCAATGAGCCGAGATAGCCCAGATCGCGCCACTGCACTCCAGCCTGGCGACAAAGCAAAACTCTGTCTCAAAAAAAAAAAAAAAGTTAAAGTGACATTTTATGTTATATATATTTTACCACACTGCATCGTGCCATTAAACAATAAAAATTTGTTCTAAACATTGAGACTTGTGCTCCAGAAATAACTTAATATTTTGGTTAAGTTTCCAGCTTTACCCTTTATTAGTTGTGTTGGGCAATGTGTTATACCCTTTTAGGTGTCAGTTTCTACATCTGTAAAAGAAGACTATTAATATATTTCTCATAGTTGGAATAGTGCAGCTACAGTGTATGCATTCGGTAAATGTTAACTGGCGTTGGTGTTAAATCTGGGAATTGCGTTGTTTCTTTTTAAAGAATTCTTATTCAGTTACCACATATTCTCACAGAAACAAATGTTCTTGAGAATCAATTTTAGCTTTCTTTTCCTCAAGAAGCGACTGGAGCTCAATTAAAAATGATGAAAACTTGCTTGATCCTGCTCTCACTGTGCTTTCTTTGCAGTAATGTTCAGATCAATTTATGGCATTGGCCCACTTGCAAAAATTCAACCTATCATGACTACTCTAATACAGGTTGCACTAGAGGACAGCTCAGTTTGGATTAAAGCTTTTGGTGGTTTCTGCCTTTAGGCTTAAGTGATGACGATTTGCCAGGTGATGACAGTTACCTTTTTTGGTAGTTAGTGAAAATCTGGAGAACACTAATTTTAAACCATGTTCAGAGTCTCAGCCATAGAGAATCTCTGTGAGAGATCTTGTTCCCAGAAATTTAACTCCCTTTATCCCTTTTTGTTGATTTTTCTCTGTAGTGATTTCCACTCCTTCCCCCGCCCCCACCCACCCCCAGCTCCAAACACATACACACAAGAGTTCAGCAACCTGAACTTTGAAAATACTTAGTGATTTCAGATTCTCAGTGAATTAACAAATGCTATTCCTTCTGCCTGAAAAATACTCATTTTTCAGCTAAATAGCATTTCTTCAGGACCTCCAGGAGGGTGGATGCTTCCTAAAGAAGTCCCCATCCCTTATTTTTTTATTTTATCCTCGTACTTCTTTTTTTCACAGGAGTGGAAACAATTTTTTTTTCTTCCCAGCGTTTGCTTGATTTCAACTGTTAGATCCAGTAGAAAGTAAGCTCTTTGAGGCCAAGTGCTATTTCTGCTTTGTTCTTTTATAAAGCAGTTGTCACAGGGCAGGCACACCGTATATACTCGTTAAATAAGACTTCTACCTTTAGTTGTTAATTGGCAGCCAGACCGGAGCAAGAAAAGGGAAAATGCTCTGAATCAACAAATATCTTTCGAACCAGAGAACGCAAAACGACGACCACGAAGGGACTCGAACCCTCAATCTTCTGATCCGGAATCAGACGCCTTATCCATTAGGCCACGCGGCCAACCGCCAAAGACAGATGCTTATATAGCACACAAAGGGAATGTAACATGGTGGGGAAGGGGGCTTTTTAAGTGCTGACTTCAAAGATCCAGCTTAATAAAAAGTTCCTCGTTTGAAATTAAAATTCACTAACAGTTAAAAACTATTTACAACACCTTCCAAAACTTGCAAATACTAATACACAGTTGTCAGAAACTGTGAGAGGACGAGCAGTTAGATGGGTCATCAGCGGTGAACCCTGTTGAAATCTCTGATTAATGGCTTCGAGAAGTGGGATAGGGAGATTTTCAGTTCTGAACTGATGCTGCACCCCTTAGGGAAAACAATCAAGAGGAGGGTGAGAGAGCGCACAGAACGTACTTTCGGCAAGTGGGGTGTGTGAAAGGAATGATGGCGACGCTGGAAGCGGGGCAGTGATGGCCAGGAAACTTCAAAGATGGTTCTGTTGGAAGTGCAGGGTTGGCGTAAGGCCGGAACAAAGTAGGTTATTCAGTTCACATATACTGTTTATTTACATGGAGCTTAGTGACTTCCATTCCTGACTTGAAGACTTCCCAAGTTTGATTTGGTCTTGACAAAAACGCGTCACCAGCTCGCTGTGGATTAATGCACAGAACAATAGGGTGTTTGGGGGGAACCCCACAGTCACCAAAAGTGTGGATGGGATAGGAAAGATGTGAAACGTCCAACCCTTAAGTAGAACTATAACACCGGTCTGTCCATTACACAGTATGATTTTGGTTCCTTGAAAATGACATGTTATTCTAACACAATGAAATCCGAGCAAAATCTCTCCCTTCCTGAACACTACACTCGTCAACAAAGAATCCCATCAACTTCTATTTTTCCTAGTGTTTTCTTCTATAGTATTTTCTTTGGGGTTAAGACCAAGCTCAAATTATTGCCGAATATTCAGTCAAAATTTTTAGAGTGTCTTACTTTAGGCTTTGCTCAGGAACCCAGGGACATCGATGAGGAAGGGACATTGATGAGGAAGAGACCACAGAGTGGCATAGGATATGAACTAGCATGAGTACAAGATTTGGAATAATATCGTACTTCTTGTCATTCCAATACAGGTTTACATAAACTGTTGCAGAACACAAAAACAACAAAATGTCCCACTGCATTTTAGAAAGGTAGCTTAACATCTACTGCAAAAACTGCAAAGATTGCCTAAAGATACAGCAATTATTATTATTATTTTGTTGTTGTTGTTGTTTTGTTTTTGAGACAGAGTCTTGCTCTGTCACCCAAGCTGGAGTGCACAGTGGCACGATCTGGGCTCACTGCAACCTCCGCCTCCAGGAAGCAATTCTCTTGCCTCAACCTCACGAATGGCTGAGACTACAGGCATGCGCCACCACACCCGGCTAATTTTTGCATTTTTAGTAAAGACGGGATTTCACCATGTTGGGCCATGGCTGGTCTGGAACTCCTGACTGCAAGTGATCCGCCCTCCTCGGCTTCCCAAAGTGCTGGGATTACCGCGTGAGCCACTGCGCCCAGCCTATTATTATTTTTGAGACAGGGTCTCACTCTGTCACCCAGGCTGGAGTGCAGTGACGCTATAACGGCTCACTGCAGCCTCGACCTCCTGGGCTAAAGGGATCCTCCCACCTCAGCCTCCTGAGTAGCTGGGACTACAGGCGCGCGCCACCACGCCCAGCTAATTTTTTTGTATTTGTATAGCTGGGGTCTCGCCATGCTGCCCAAGCTGCTCTGGAACTCCTGGACTCAAGAGACCCACCCGTCTCTTCCAAAGTGCTGGGATTACAAGAGCCAGCCACTGCGCCCTATCTATGCAGCAACCATTAACAAAACATAATATCGCCATGATGAACAAGTACAAGGACAAATGTAAAAACTGAAGAGGATTCTCTGTTCTAAAATAATTTTTGATAACATGGGAAGATGTTCTGAATACAATGTTGAGAATAAAGCAAATAATAAAAACATATGCAGTATGATCCCAATTGGATAAGTCTGTATTTATATGTCAGAGTCTCCACTCAGATTCAGTCTTGAAGTTCTTAATCCCTTTAAATAACTGGAAACTGGAACCTGTACAAGACACATTATAAGTGTTTGATGCAATACACATACATATTGTGTATAATATGTGCAACTCTCTCTCCCCATTTTCAAAGTTTGGTGAACATTTTCAATTAAAGCCAAATATTTGAAGTTATATGCAACTATTGAAACTGGATATATTGAAAGTATTGAAACTGAAAAAAAGTTAAGCTACTGGAAGATATTTTCTCATCTTCATCATCAGCATTGGGACACTTACTGTTGAAAGAATATATGTGGCTCACCTTTTTAATGAATTGGAATCAGGTCACCTGGGGCTTAGGACATCTTCTAGAACTGCCCAAGGACAGATGTGGATGATACCATGATTCATGGTCCTAATCCTTCCTCCAGAGAGGCCACAACAGAGCTAAAAGGTTTAGATCCTGGATAGTGACAATATTAGGGTTTGAGATCTTTGTGAGCTAAAATACAATTGTCAGCTTTCTCACAGGGTTCTAATTCTAAAATAAAAATAAGTACTGAGAGTTCATGGAGATGTTTTTTCCTCTCCTTTTAAATCTCACCTTGCTAACCTGAAAATGTTAAGCCTCCTAACCTGCTTCCCACTCTATTTCTGATCTCCTTTACCTGGTTATCATTCAGAACTATTCTCTACAGTTTCTTTTGCTCAGAGAAGGGCAATTTCTGACTGGCTCCATTTTCCTTCTTTTATTTCTGCCCCCTTTTTTGTCTCAACTTTGGCTCCATCCCCACTTTCTCTTCCACTTGTACTTTGCATCCTGTGTCTTCTGCAAAATATACCCAGAAATATGTGCTTAGCTTCCTCTCTTCCATTTTGTTCCCTTTTATTCTCCTTTTCTCATTTTCACTGTCCCTGGATAATAATAGGTCTGTCTTTAATGGGAGAAAAGGGGAAAATAATGAAATTTCAGAAGATTTGTGTATGTGTGTGTATGTGTGTGAGTAAATGTTAGGGCTTTGCATTTTTATATTCACATTTTCCTCTCACGTGGGTTACATCAATTTATAATAATCTACATAAGTTGAAACAGAACATGGACAAAAAAATATATCCTTACCAACTTATTTTTTTGTTTGTTTTTTTGAGACGGAGTCTCGCTCTGTCACCAAGGCTGGAGTGCAATGGCCGATCCACAGATCATGTTTATCAGACATTTCCATGAAGTTGCCTTTAAGTATTTTAAATTCTTGTCCAAAACCAAACAGCTTCATCCCCTTCTGGATACCATCCTACTTCCCACAAATAAAAACAAACAAACAAGCATAATTCCTGCTTCTCCTTCTCTACTTAATAGTTTGGTGAAAGGCAACATCCATCTCTTACACTACCTGTGTGTGTGTGTGTGTGTGTTTCCTGAGGACACTCTCCATCTTTGTTTCTTTTAAAATCCATAAAGTCTCTCAATCCTGCAGCATCCACCTTCTTTCTCCAGTTCAAATAGGTTCCTTCTTTGTTTTTTGTCACTCAAGTCTCTGCTAGTTTAGACCTTAAGCATTATTCCTATGACCGATTGCAGGAGACACACATTATGCCCTCCTTAGAGTAGGACAGAGAATAAGGTCAATGATTAACAAAATGTTGAATCATTCGCTCTCCAATTGTATAACAACTTTAGCTTTTTCACGGTTCTGCGATTGAGACTTTTTTTTTTTTTTTTTTTTTTTTTAAAGACGGAGTTTCGCTCTTTGGAGTCTAGCTCTTATCGCTGAGGCTGGAGTGCAATGGTGCAATCTCGGCTCACAGCAACCTCCATCTCCCAGGTTCAAGCGATTCTCCTGCCTCAGCCTCCCTAGCAGCTGGGATTACAGGCGCCTGCCACACCACACGAGGCTAATTTTTGTATTTTTAGTAGAGACAGGGTTTCACCATGTTGGCCAGGCTGGTCTCCAACTCCTGACCTCAGGAGATCCACCTGCCTTGGTCTCCCAAAATGCTGGGATTACAGGTGTGAGCCACTGTGCCCAGCCAAGACTTCTTTTTATCCAATAGCAGTGTGCCAGTAGCAGAAGAGTCAGCTGCATATGCTATAAAGAGCGTGCCCAGGAAAAAGCTGGATTTTGATAGCTTTCTACCTGGAGGAGAAAGACGTAATTTGGGTGCACAGGGATCAGAACTTGAACTTCAGATCCTGGGAGTAAAATGCTACTTAGATTCATAAACTCAGAAACTTTGTTGCTGTTGTTGTCTTGAGAATCTTGTAAAGTGTACACATTTGTCTGTGGTCTGTCTTGTCTTTTTTTGTTGTTGTTTTGGATTCTCAACTAGATATGCTAAAAATAAGCAGGCAAAAAAAGCAAGAAAGCAAACATGCTAAATTGGTGTTTCCTTCTGCAACTGGAGCTGCCCAACCCTATGCAGCCTTGCCTCTTGTGTGAGCATTTAACACTGCTCTCTGACAACCAGATGGGTTGGCTTCCTTATGACAGTTTCAAAGAGCAGCTGTATGTGACTAACGAACTTCAAACATACAGTTTAAGAGATGCACCTGAGAAAATGCTGAGCCCATTCAGAGACTCAGTGAGTCACAAAAGTCTCAGACAAGACAAGCTGGGTCTCTTGTAAGAGGTTCTGGAATTTGGTCCATGGATCACCATCAGTATAATCTGGAAACCTGTTAGAACTGCAAATTCTTGGGCCCTACCCCAGGTCCACTAAATCAGAAATTCCCAAAGGATGTTCCAATATGTTTCAACAAGTCATCCAGATGATTCTGATGGACCTATGCTTTGTGAACAACTGAACTCGAAGGATTGACACCTTCTGTTGCCTCACTTTAGAGTAAGGGGCATTCATTCTTCTCTAGTACCTGGAGGAAGCACAGATGCATTGGGGACCTGGGACACATCCAGATCTGAGCATCCAAATCCTGAGCATCCTTGAGGCTCCACTACCCAGCACGCTGCCTCTCACCTCATGGGTTTCCTCTTTTCCCTTCCGTAGTGTGATGAATCCCCCACCAGATTAGGTAAGGATGTATGTCCACTGCCTGAATCCTGAAAGCCAGGTGGTGAGCCAAGGCCATGGTGCCCAGCCAAAGAGTAGGTGTCCCTAAGAACCCAAACATCCGGGAGAGTATCTAGGAACCTACTAAGAAAAACAGTCTCATCACTCAAACACAGTAGACAAATAGCCAGAAAATAAGCTTAAAAGCAGTTTAGAGGCTGGGTGCGGTGGCACATGCCTGTAATCCCACACTCTGGGAGGCCGAGGTGGGTGGATTGCTTGAGCCCAGGAGTTCGAGACCAGCCTGGCCAACATAGTGAAACCCAGTCTCTTCTAAAAATACAAATATTAGCAGGATGGGGTGGCGGGTGCCTGTAATCCCAGCTACCCGGGAGGCTGAGGCAGGAGAATCACTTGAACCCAGGAGGCGGAGGCTGCAGTGAGCCGAGATGGCAGCACTATACTCGAGCCTAGGAGACAGAGCGAGACTTGGTAAAAAAAAAAAAAAAAAAAAGCCATTTAGAGACAGGAGGCTGCATGGATCTCTGGAGCTGTCCTGCTACATCCAGGAGTACCCTGTGTGTAAGTCCTAATAAATTCATCTTACTTGTCAAGCTGTACGTGTCCAAGTCATTCTTTGGTCTGTTGGCTGCTTCCCAATTTAGGGGGACGTTACAGTCCCAAGTTTTGCTCATAACAATTGGCATCACAAACAGGATCTGAGAGACCAAACAATGAGTCAGGAAAGGGCATCTGCAGGGGGAATCCTGGGGTGGTCGGCAACATGCAGGTGGGGTGGAATTGCTCCATCGCTCAACCTTTGTGGACTGCTGAGGAAGTATAGGGATATTCAGAAAATGTGGCGGGGACTAAGCGCATATTGCAAGAGGCTAAGATATCAAAGTAGGATAAGGATAGCAAATGTGCTATTGTTGCAATAAGGCTGGCCCCTGAGAAATCATTAGAGCAGGAAACAGAGAAAGGATAGAAACACCTGCAGAAGTTCAAAGCATGCCAGCTTTTTTAGGACTCCAGCTGGTTACCTATTATGTATGGCCCTTTCTTGTGCACATTTTTTAACTGATGGGGAAATTACAACAAAAAAAATGCGGATTTTAAATGGTTAAGCTGCAACTATAGAGTTAAGTAGAGTCTCCTAAAGCTATTTCTCTCTTTATTTTTGTTTCTGCTTATTTTGAATATGCTATTTATTTATTTAGAGACAGATTCTCACTCTGTCACCCAGGCTGGAGTGCAGCTCACTACAGCCTCCGCCTCCCGGGTTCAAGCTCTTTTCCTGCCTCAGCCTCCCGAGTAGCTGGGATTACAGGAACCCACCACCACGCCCAGGTATTTTTAGTAGAGATGGGGTTTCACCATATTGGCCAGGCTGGTCTCGAACTCCTGACCTTGTGATCCACCCACCTCGGCCTCCCAAAGTGCTGAGATTACAGGTGTGAGCCACTGCGCCCAGCCTCGAATGTTGGGAGAGAAGCTGAGTGTTGGGAGACAACAGGACTTGTATGTCTGCTAGACTTGCTGGCTCCTTGCTTTTAGCACTCCCATTATCTAAAGTAGCCATATGTTTCTCTTTCACTTGATACACCATTTCCTTTCAACCCCCACATCTTCACTACCTGTTTGTTTGAGCACCAATAAATAGCGTGGGCTCCCAGAGCTCAGGGCCTTCGCAGCCTCCACACTCGTGATGGCCACTTAGTCCCACTTTCTCTCTCAAACTGTCTTTTTCTCATTTCTGTGACTCTGCAGGACTTTGTCGCCCCCACGACCTGGTGTTGGGTCTGATCACCCCAACACTCAAATATGCCATTATTAAGCTATTGGTGTTGAAATAAAACTCACTAATTCAAAGCCACTCGGAGATTTTACTTTTCTCTACAGTACAGCCAGTTCTTACTAAAATGTAAACAATGAAACTCATTTGAAGCACAGAAAAAAGGGGATGTGGATAAATGAGGATTTTAAAAATCAAACTGGTATAGAAACTGCTTTACCCAAAATTGTGTTCCACAGTCTTTATTGGATTACCTATCAGTGCAAACAAAGTCTAGTCTTGTGGACAGGTCTCAATTTTGTGAAAAATAATTTGGATCTAGCTTTTCTTTTTTTTTTTTCCTTTTTTTTTTTTTTGAGATGGAGTTTCACTCTTGTTGCCCAAGCTGGAGTGCAACGGTGAGATCTCGGCTCAGTGCAACCTCCATCTCCCAAGTTCAAGTGATTCTCCTGCCTGAGCCTCTTGAGAAGCTGGGATTACAGGGGTGCGCCACCACTCCCAGCTACTTTTTTGTATTTTTAGTAGAAACGGGGTTTCACCATGTTAGCCAGCCTGGTCTCCAACTCCTGAACTCAGGTGATCCTCCTGCCTCGGCCTCCCAAAGTGCTGGGATTACAGGTTTGAGCCACTGCACCCGGCCTGATCCAACTATCTTTTGTAAAATAGTAAATTTATGATGTTGTCTCATGGCTAGAGTTCCAAGTAAAAGCTGTTGGATATTGGTTTGTGTGTATAGATACATGCTTAAATGTGTTTATGTGTATGTATATATATTATGTGTTATGCCTAGCATACTACCAAATGGCTTATACATAAATGAGTACTCATAAAGTCCAAATGCTTTTCAAGTTCATATGAATTTAGTAATCTTTAATAAATAATCTGGCTTTAAAATTATTGGTAAAATAAAAATAGAAATGTCCTTGAATTGTCAGCATACGTTTTTGTCTCAGTTTACCAATTAGTTTTACATTTGCCTCTGCTAGATATTTTAAGGTGTCAGGGTTTGACCTAAAGATCATAAGTCTGTAAACCCAGCCAAAAACAGAATGATCTTTATTTGTGTGATTTTTTGGTAAGTATGACTAATTTAATATTGTTAGGTCAGTGAAAACAGCTAAAATTCCTGAGTTATTGGCAAAAATGCCCATGTGTTTAACTTTAAAGTTCTTGCCTAGGTGAACACCTGACATTCACAGTTTAACAGAAAAAATAATTCAGAATGATGAGTAACTTTGTCTAATGTCTTCGTTCCAATGAGTAATCTAGGTAAACTGCTAAAAATGAATAAATTGAGTAAATGTAAGAGATAAATGCTTACGGGTGAACTTTTTGTGTAGTTTAAAACCTTAAAATTGTTTTAAGTACTTGTTGAATGTCTGGATCATTTCCAATTCAAAAAATGGCATTTATAATATAGGGCATTGGTCACACTGAGGTGACAGCGTGCTGGCAGTCCTCAGAGCCCTCGCTTGCTCTCAGCACCTCCGCTGCCTGGGCTCCCACTTTGGTGGCATTTGAGGAGCCCTTCAGTCCCCCACTGCACTGTGGGAGCCCCTTTCTGGGCTGGCCAAGGCCGGAGCCCACTCCTTCAGCTTGCAGGGAGGTGTGGAGGGAGAGACACGAGCGGGAACCAGGGCTGTGTGCCGCACTTGCGGGCCAGCTGGAGTTCCGGGTGGGCGTGGGCTTGGTGGGCCCCGCACTCGGAGCAGCCAGCCAGCCCTGCTGGCCCCGGGCAATGGGGGACTTAGCACCCGGGCCAGTGGCTGCGAAGGGTGTACTGGGTCCCCCAGCAGTGCCGGCCCACCGGCGCTGTGCTCGATTTCTCGCCGGGCCTTGGCTGCCTTCCCACGGGGCAGGGCTCGGGACCTGCAGCCCGCCATGCCTGAGCCTCCCACCCCCCTCCGTGGGCTCCTGTGCGGCCCGAGCCTCCCGGACGAGCGCCACCCCCTGCTCCACGGCACCCAGTCCCATCGACCACCTAAGGGCTGAGGAATGCGAGTGCAGGGCGCAGGACTGGCAGGCAGCTCCACCTGCAGCCCCAGTGCGGAATCCACTAGGTGAAGCCAGCTGGGCTCCTGAGTCTGGTGGGGACGTGGAGAGTCTTTTTATCTAGCTCAGGGATTGTAAACACACCAATCAGCACCCTGTGTTTAGCTCAAGGTTTGTGAGTGCACCAATCGACACTCTGTATCTAGCTGCTCTGGTGGGGCCTTGGAGAACCTGTATGTGGAAACTCTGTATCTAACTAATCTAATGGGGACGAGGAGAACCTTTGTATCTAGCCCAGGGATTGTAAACGCACCAGTCAGCGCCCTGACAAAACAGGCCACTCGGCTCTACCAATCAGCAGGATGTGGGTGGGGCCAGATAAAAGAATAAAAGCAGGCTGCCCGAACCAGCATTAGCAACCCGCTGGGTTGTCTCTTCTGCACTGTGAAAGCGTTGTTTTTTTCACTATGCGCAATAAATTTTCCAACTGGTCATTCTTTGGGTCCACGCTGTTTTTATGAGGTATAACACTCACTGCAAAGGTTTGCAGCTTCACTCCTGAGCTAGCAAGACCACGACCCCACCAGAAAAAAGAAACTGCGGACACATCTGAACATCAGAAGGGACAGACTCCACGCCCGCGAACTTTAGAGCTGTGACACTCTCTGTGAGGGTTTGCGGTTTCATTGTTGAAGTCAGTGAGACCATAGAACCCACCAATTTCAGACAACACTTCTGAGCCTCTTAGTGGGAAATGAAATCTGTGATGGGGGGAAGCATTGGCAGACCTCAGTGAGCTGGATAAAAATAACGATCAGGTCCACAGAGAAAGCAAAAAGGGGATAGGCCAAATATGCACCTGTATCCTTGCAGGTAATGAACATGAAACAATACTTCCTGCTATTGGGGGGGCACTCTGAAATCACCCAAACAATCCAGAAAGTACATAAGGTACAAATAGTCAGACTGGCCCAGAGCCCCTACAGCAGCCTTGTTTGGCCTGTGAAGAAGCCAGGTGATGCCTGGAAGATGATGGTGGATTACCGCTAGCTGAACAAAGTGGTACGCCCTGTACATGCAGCTGTATCCAATATTGCTCAACTGCTAGAGCAAGCAGTACCGAAGCTGGGAAGTATCCATTCTGTGACTGACTGCATTAATACCTTTTCCAGTATTCTTTCAGCTGAAGATTCACAAGACCAGTTGGTCTACACTTAGGAGGACCAAGAATGGACTTTCCAGGTGTCACCACAGGGGCATCTGCAAAGCCCCGCCATCTCTCACAGTATGGTTACACAGGAGCTGTCTATAATCTCTTTGCCTGCCTTGGTCTCCCTGTTTCACTATATTAATGATAACATGCTACCCTAGAGTCTCTTACAGATTTGGAGACTATCCTACAAACTGTTTTGGACAGCCTGAAGGAGGGATAGAAAATCAACCCCAAAAATATACAGAGGCTTGGCATGCCTGTCAAATTCCTGAGAGTTACCTGGTTGGGTAAGATGTGAAACATACCCAAAGCCGTCATTGATAAGATAGCATAGTAGTCTACTCTCCAGACAGTAGAGCAACTCCAGGTTTTCCTAGGTTTACTGGGCTACTGGAGGATATTCATTCCTCATCTGGCACAAATACTCCACCCATTATACACCCTAATAAAGACAGGTAAAAAATGAGATGACATAAATAGAACAAGAGGCATTTGACAAAACAAAAATATTGGTGAAACAAGCCCAAGCATACAGACTCTACTGCTGTATTAGTAATCACCAGAGATGTCACAGGGATGAATTTAGGTTTGGGGCAAAAGCAACTAATGGGAATGGTACCTATAGGGTTTTGGTCTCAGTTATGGGAGGGAGCCAACATGGCAGTGGAGCCACCCATCAGGCCAACCACCATATATAAGGGTACCCCGCCAATATCTGCTAGGCCCTGGTACATTGATGGGCATAGCAAAGATATCCAACACTGGGCATCAGAAGAAAATATAGACTGGACCAGGTGCGGTGGGTCATGCCTGTAATCCCAGCACTTTGGGAGGCTGAGACAGGCAGATCACTTGAGGTCAGGAGTTTGAGAGCAGTCTGGCCAACATGGTGAAACCCCATCTCTACTAAAAATACAAAAATTAGCCAGGCGTGGTGGCGCATGCGTGTAGTCCCAGCTACTTGGGAGACTGAGGTGGGAGAATTGCTTTAATCCGGGAGGCGGAGGTTGCAGTGAGCCGAGATCGCACCATTGCATTCCAGCCTGGGCAACAGAGCGAGACTCTGTCTCAAAATAAAAAAGAAGAAAATATAGACTGGAGGTTCCACTTACCACCACAATCCAACAGAGGCAGGACTTACAGAAAGAAATAATGGCCTGTTAAAGACCCAGATGTGTGCACTGTTTCAGGTTGGCTCTTTAAGTTCCTGGACTAAGAATCTCCATAAAGCCATACAAACTTTAAATGAGTCACCCACTAGCACACATGGCATCACTCCTTATAAATGGTTGGCAAGGCCTGTAAGACATGTCCCACAAACTCTCGGGGTTACCTCAAAGACACTGAGCCATGCTCCTGAGGCAGATGGTGAGACATGCTCCTGAGAACACCAGTGGATCTGCCAAGCAGTGATGGCTACAGGGACCTGAAGCTGAGCTGGAATATGCCTCCATACTGGATTAGTTTTATAGTACTGGAGGGTGGTGCCATGATAACTGCCATAGGGGCAGTGGTCCCAGCTGTGCTCCTTGATAGAGTTCCGAGAGACTTACTTTATCAACAGATGGCAGCACCCATACCTGCTGGAATAATTATAGTATGGATAGCATGGGCAAGGCTGGAAACTTATCAATTGGCTATTGTGGCTGCTTCTAGGAAAAGAAGACATGGGTGGTTTTGTAATCCAGGCCTGAAGCCCACAGTGGCATCCCTAATAGTGCCAGTGGGAGAAAACACAATGATAATAATGTTGCAAGGTGTGGCCAGGCGCGGTGGCTCACGCCTGTAATCCCAACACTTTGGGAGGCCAAGGCGGGTGGAGTATGAGGCCAGGAGATCGAGACCATCCTGGCTAACACGGTGAAACCCCGTCTCCACTAAAAATACAAAAAATTAGCCAGATGTGGTGGCGGGCGCCTGTAGTCCCAGCTACTCAGGAAGCTGAGGCAGGAGAATGGCGTGAACCCAGGAGGCGGAACTTGCAGTGAGCCGAGATCGTGCCACTGCACTCCAGCCTGGGCAACAGAGCAAGACTCTGTCTCAAAAAAATTAAAAAAAAAAATGTTGCAAGGAGTGAATACGCCTGTGAGAGTTCCTACTAACCACCTGTGTTTATACCCATAGGTTGTTCCTGCTACTCATGGCAGCTGGTAATGTCTTTCTAGACTGAGCTGCAACTCCAGAAGCAGTCAACAACCAGTCAGATACCTCTCCCTATAAAATAATAATGATATGCCTTAAAATACTCTGCCTTTCTCCTGACAGAACTGGAGTGACTTGTACAATAGCACTGATAATGCAACCCGGGCTCACTAAGGATTGCCTCCACCTAGAGGCTCAATCACCAACGTGACAAAGACCCAAAATGTGCCTTTCTAGGTGCTAACTGTTGCACCTATTTCCCTGATGAAGAGAGTAATGTCAGAGGTACTTTAAACCATTTGTCAACTCAGATCCATGATATAACCTAATTAGGTTTCTTTTACTCATTCTCAAATTGGTTACACAGCTTCTCTAGTCATGGGAATTAGGTTTTGCTAATAGACATTATAATTGTAGTTAACTTCTGCTTTTTGTGCTCCTACGTATACTGTAGATGTGACCTGTATGCGCAAGCCATGGCTAGACGTTATAGACCTGTATAGTTCTTTCCTTCCACCCTACTCAAGGAGTCTCACACAAGATTGGCAGAAAGAATGTAAGAAATGGGAGGCAGGGTGGATTGCAGCATGACAGATCACCCACCATGTCACTTAAGAGTGTATGTCTACTGCCTGAACCCTGAAGGCCCAGTGGTGAGCCAAGGCCACGATGCCCAGCAGAGGAGCAGGTGTCCTTGAGAACACAAACATCCCAGAGAGTATCTGAGAACCTACCAAGAAAAACAGTCTCATTGCTCAAACACAGTAGGCAAAAAGCCAGAAAATTAACTTAGAAACAGTTTAAAGACAGGAGGCGGCATGGATCTCTAGAGCTATCCTGCTGCACCCAGGAGTACCCTGTATCTAAGTCCTACTAAACTCACCTGCTTATTAAGCTGGACTGTCTTTGGTCTTCCGGGACCTTCCCAGTTTGGGGGGAACGTTACAATCCCAAGTTTTTCTTGTAATACTTTCCAATCTTTCTCCTCCCCTTGTTAACTTTCCCCAGATCCTAGTTTCAGTTTCTGTTGTGGCTAGATTTTCAGGCCCAGTGGTTTTCAAACTTGCCTGAATATCAAATTCAACTGGGAAATATTAAATAACACAATATTCCATAGATGTGAGGACGATCTAGCTGTGACATCTGTCACCCCATAATAATTCCTGGGCCCTTTTCTGGAGACTCTGAAAGCACTCAGCATCTCAGTCTCTGGGGTAAGGCCTGGGGATTCCTGTTTTTATTAACTCCCGCAGGTAAATTTTCACCTTTGGGGACTCCTGCAGTGTTGTCCCAAAAGCACTTATAGGAAGGTCTAGGGCAGAAAAACATCTTTTCCCACCCAGTGCCAGGTTCATGGCTGACACTTCATAATAAAAGATAGATTAACAAGGGAAAAGCAGGCCGGGTGGGGTGGCTCATGCCTGTAATCCCAGCACTTTGGGGGGCTGAAGCTGGTGGATCACCTGAGGTCAGGAGTTTGAGACCAGCCTGGCCAACATGGAGAAACCCCCATTTCCACTAAAAATACGAAATTAGCTGGGCATAGTGGCACACGCCTGTAATCCCAGCTACTCGGGAGGCTGAAGCAGAAGAATCGCTTGAACCCGGGAGGCGGAGGTTGTGGTGAGCCAAGATCGCGCCATTACACTCTAGCCTGGGCAACAAAAGTGAAATTCTGTCTCAACAACAAAAAAAAAAAAAAAAAAAAAGGAAAAGCATACAAATCAAACAAATTTTATTGACACAAGAGCCTTCAAAAATGAAGACCTAAAGAAATAGGAAAATCTGCGTACAGCAGACCCTTGAATAACGTTGTTTCATTCAACATCATTTTGTTATAATGTTGATGAGAAAAAAGTCTATTTCTCCTGGAAGCCACTGTCTGAGTTTCCTCCCACATCCCAAAAATGTGCACATTAGGTTCATTAGCATATCTAGTCTGAGTCTAGCGTCATCAGTCTGAGTGAAAGAGCACGCGAGCATATGTGTGAGTGTGTGTGTGTGTGTATGAGCCCGCCCTGTGATGGAATGGCCACCTGTCCACGGTGGGTTCCCTCCTGACACTATGAGGAGTTGAATTAGGCTTCAGCCACCAAAGACCTTGAACTGGAGTGAGCAGGTTGAAAAATGCATGAATGAATACAAGTTACTGTAAAAGCAAAATTCAGGAAGCATTTCATAATCCTACAAATGCATGACAATAAACGACATGGTGCTAAAACAGCCAGCCGCCATACTGAGAGGTGACAGCTTGCTGGCAGCCCTCACAGCCTTCGCTTGCTCTAGGCGCCTCCTCGGCCTTGGCGCCCACTCTGGCCGCGCTTGAGGAGAACTTCAGCCCGCCGCTGCACTGTGGGAGCCCCTTGCTGGGCTGGCCAAGGCCGGAGCCGGCTCCCTCAGCTTGCAGGGATGTGTGGAGGGAGAAGCGCAGGCGGGAACCGAGGCTGCGCGCGGCGCTTGCGGGCCCAGCGCGAGTTCCGGGTGGGCGTGGGCTCGGCGGGCTCCGCACTCGGAGCGGCCCCCTAATCCGCAAGCCCCGAGCAGTAAGAGGCTTAGCACCTGTGCCAGCAGCTGCTGTTCTCGACTTCTCGCCGGGCCTTAGCTGTCTCCCCGCGGGGTAAGGCTCGGGACCTACAGCCCGCCATGCCTGAGACGCCCCTCCCCGCCATGGGCTCCTGCGCGGCCCGAGCCTCCCCGACGAGCGCCGCCCCCTGCTCCACGGCGCCCAATCCCATCGGCCACCCAACGGCTGAGAAGTGCGGGCGCAAAGCACGGGACTGGCAGGCAGCTCCACCTGCGGCACCGGTGGAAAATCCACTGGGTGAAGCCAGCTGGGCTCCTGAGTCTGGTAGGGACTTGGAGAACGTTTACGTCTACCTAAGGGATTATAAATACACCAATCGGCACTCTGTATCTAGCTCAAGGTTTGTAAACAC
The DNA here is from genome assembly GCF_000001405.40 of Homo sapiens. Classification (NCBI taxonomy): domain Eukaryota; kingdom Metazoa; phylum Chordata; class Mammalia; order Primates; family Hominidae; genus Homo; species Homo sapiens. The sequence goes on along the minus strand of NT_167244.2, from coordinate 131,889 downwards.
ACCAATCGGCACCCTGTGTCTAGCTCAGGGTTTGTGAATGCACCAATGGACACTCTGTATTTAGCTACTCTGGTGGGGACTTGGAGAACCTTTATGTCTAGCGAAGGGATTGTAAATACACCAATCGGCACTCTGTATCTAGCTCAAGGTTTGTAAACACACCAATCAGCACCCTGTGTCTAGCTCAGGGTTTGTGAATTCACTAATGGACACTCTGTATCTAGCTACTCTGGTGGGGACTTGGAGAACTTTTGTGTCTAGCTCAGGGATTGTAAACGCGCCAATGAGCACTCTGTGAAGATGGACCAATCAGCTCTCTGTAAAACAGACCAGTCAGTTCTCTGTAAAATGGACCAATCAGCAGGATGTGGGTGGGGCCAGACAAGATAATAAAAGCAGGCTGCCGGAACCAACTGCGACAACGTGTTCGGGCTTTTTCCCACGGTGCGGAAGTGATTTTTCGCTCTCTGCGATGGATCTTGATTGTTCTTTGGGTTTACACTACGTTTATGAGCTGTAATTTGTTGATGGTCTGCAGCTTATCTTTTGAAGTTAGGAAAAACATGAATTCTCGGGCAAGAACAAACAACTCCGGAGGCGCCGCCTTAGAAGATGTAACACTGACTGCCAAGGTTTGCAGTTTCACTCCTGAGCCAGTAGAAGACCAAACCACCAGAAGGAAGAAACTCTATAACACATCCGAACGTCAGAGGGAATGAACTCTGGCTACACCGCATCTAACGATTGTAACACTCATCCGGAGGACTTGTGGCTTTCTTGAAATCAGTGAGATCAAGAACCCGCCAATTCCGGACACAATGTTTTACGAATTGTGTGTTAGTAGGAGTTGCTCCTTACAACTGCTATTTCACAAACATTTATTCCTTGATATAACCTGCCACCACTAGAATTGCAGTCACTGATTCACCAAAAATAAATCAATCATGTCGTTTTTGCTGATCTTAACTTGAGGTGCAGCTCATATTTTTTTCAATATTTAGTGTTAGAAGTGTTTGGAGTCCTTATTTAGAAATTTGGTGTTTTTGTGATCAGACATTTGCCAAGAAAATTAACTCTTAAATCAATTAGTCTAGTCTATGGTAGAATTAGTTTTATTTTGCTTAAAGTAATAGTTTCCAAAAACCAACTGACAATAAGTGAGGACTTCCTATATTTTTATGCTTAGGTTTGATGAAGTGGATAGTCCCATAGCAGTATAATTGGATAAAAGGGGGTATGATCTAATGGTTATAAACTGGGGTGAACTTAGCAAAGCCTGTTTATTCAGGTTCTCTTTGGCATCTCTGTGTCTTCGTTTATTTCCTCCAAGTACATTTTCTCCCCTCTGAATTGACGGTCTTATCACCTACTTTAATTGGAAGATCAGGTAGCTTTCATGGCCCGCTTCACGGAACAAGGGCCCAGAGAAAAACGTTTCTGCTTCTGCTGTTTTCTCAAATGCCGAGGTGTCGTATTTTGGGAGTAGTGTGACCTGAACCCAGTCAAAAGACGTCCGAGTCTTTCTAATCTCTGGGTCATAGGGTCGCCTTTGGCCTATGCATTGTACGTATACAGTATGGCATTTCGCATGTCTGTCCACTTCTAGGCGCACAGTCCAACTGGCTTTGACTGGTCAGGAAGGCCAGGCCTGGATCTGGGGTTGGTACTATAGGTTAGATGTTTTCAGGTTTTGAAGGAGAAACAGGTCCCTTAAGGATGAGAGCGAATCAGAAGAAGACAGACAAAAAAGGATTTAGGATTTGTTCCAGAAGCTCATTTCTGGATTGACTGTCGTACCAAGGTTTGGCGAACGGCGGCAAGCGCTTGCCAGTTTGTCGAAGAGTGGAGAGGTCAGTTGTGCCAAGGAGTGGAGAGGTCTAAGAACTCTCCAGGAGCACGGAGGGTTTATGCAGTCATAAATCGCCTTGCTTCTGCATACTTTTTATTCCGTGGAGGATTCCGCCCGGGCGATGGCGCCATAAATGCAGGTGCGTCCTGGCTCTTTTCTCTTCCCAGTGCGCATCTCGGCGACTCTCACCACCCGAGTCTCAGAGCCCGCGAAACGTAGCGTGCCAGGTTCTCCATCCCGAGGCTGGGCGCGGGAACCTGCAGGGGCAGTAACTACGACCGGGACAAGCCGATCTGCAATTCCCCTCCTGTTTTCTCTGCCCCTTGGACTTAAATTCCCACGGCGGCGTTTAGGGCTTTCGTTTTATCTTTCTGCGTTATGCTCGCGGTTTCCTGGCAACCTTTCCAAGCAGAATCACCCCATCACAGACCTTTCTCTGGGGGGCGGCCAGGCAGGACGGCTCCCTTATAAACCCCGATAGGTGGTTGTCGAGCGGCCGTCCGAGAGGGTGACCTGCAGCGGGAGATCCCAGGCCCAGCACGGGACTTTCGATATAACATTCAGTTTTCCTTCTCTCAGCGCAGTCAGGAAACAATATCCAGTATAGCGAATTCAAAATTAAGTTCGACAAAATATGCTTCTTGGCACGACCGATAATAGTAACAGGTCATAGAAATATTTTGGCCCACGTTGAGCGTTGGGGGGTGTAGCTCAGTGGTAGAGCGCGTGCTTAGCATGCACGAGGCCCCGGGTTCAATCCCCGGCACCTCCAGCTTCATTTTTCTCCCGCCTTTTCTCCTAGATGTGCCTTGTTTGCAAAATCATGTCTATCATGTCCACGACTCGCCTCAATTTTTTTTCTTTTGTTTTTGTGGCACTTTCATTCTCTCTCAATTCTTCAAATTCACATGGAAACCAAGGAAAACAAGCTCCGTTTTGCTTTCAATATTGATGCATTTCTGCTCTAAGGCTTTGACACCACCCTGGGTGGCTGTGTCAAGAGATGAAAGACAAAATGAAAGAGGCCGCGGAAGCACAGACTGGCAGAATTCCAAAACCCGAAAAACAAGCAAGGCACCAAATTAACAAGCCCAATCACATTGGTTACATTTCCCAGTATTATCGAAGATCAAGCAAGAAAGAAAAAGACAGAAAACAAATGCGAAACCACAGGTAATTTTTTACAATTTATTTTAGATCCTTTCTTTTTTGAGCTGTTCCTTGGTCAAGGGACAGACCCAGAAAATAGGAAAACTGTCCCACGGATTTCCCCACCACTCTCTTCCCATCGCAATCTCTTTTCTTTTCCCCCATCAGGTGTCCTCTTGTTCGTCCGATTTTAGACTTTGTAAGCTTTTTGTAGGCTTTTTTTTTTTTTTTTTTTGGAGACAAGAGTCTCACTCTGTCTCCCAGGCTGGAGTGCAGAGTGCAATGGCACCATCTCGGTTCACGTGCAAGCTGTGCCTCCCAGATGCAAGTGATTCTCCTGCCTTAGCCTCCCGAGTAGCTGGAATTACAGGCATGATGCACCACCATGCCCGGCTAATTTTTTTTTTTTTAGTGGAAACGGGGGTTTCACCATGTTGGCCAGGCTGGTCTCGAACTCCTGAACTCAAGTGATCCACGATCCACCCGCCTCTGCCTCCTAAAGTGCCGGGATTCCAGGCGTGAGCCACCACGCCTGGCCTACTTTGTATGCATTTCTTTGACTCATTGTTATTGTTTCTGACTTTATTAGGGTAACTTTTATTAAAGCATAATGTAAGCTTTGGATCCAAATAGAAGTTCTTTATTGTGTTAAATAAATTGAAGCCTTCGTATCTGGCTGACTTGAAGCAGCACTTAGCTAGTTTTAAAAGATATGGAAGGCAATCAGAAAACAAAGATACATATCCCCACTCCCTTCTCTTCCCAATTCTAACCGCAGCTCACATTTTGAAGGGCCTCACACATGCATGTGTGAACATCTCAACATATTAGCGGTGGCAGTTATCTGTAAGGAGTCTGCAGCAACATTAATTCTTGCCTCCTCAGGAGAAGGAAAGAATTCGATTGAGGAGCATAATGCCGAAGGAGAGACCGAGGCAAGTCTTAGAGCAGGGGTGAAAAATTATTGAAAATATTTAGAGCACTAATGAAGGAAAGTACACTTGGAAGAGGGCCAAGCAGGCGACTTGAGAGACCAAGTGCACGGCTTGACCTCTAGACCTGGGGTCGTAAACGTTGGCATAGTTCCTAAATCTTGTGTTATTTCTCCCCACTCCTGAGATCTTATTGGGAAGTGACCGACCACCAGTTTCACGTGTTTTCTATCTGTTAAGAAACTGCCTTTCTCTGTCAGAGGAAGAATCAGTTTAAACTTTATAGATTTCTTTTAAAACGTATTTATTACAAGTCCCCAAGAGGGCTTTATTTTTGCTTTCACACATCCTGTTTTTCAGCTTCCTTGGCTCTTTTTGCCCATATGCCGAAGAGCCGAGCATTGCCGCCAAGCATTGGCACCGGCCATGCGGAGACTAGCGAAAGCTTTGCAATTCCTCTACTTCTCAGTGATGACTCGGGCTTTCTCCTTACATTCTTGATGGGCATGACCGGTCCTGTCAGCTGGGTGGCCAATTTCTGTTCTTCAGCAGAACTGTCTCCCTTCTTGGGGGCCGAGGGCTTTCTGGGGAAGAGGATGAGTTTGGAGCAATACTCATTCAGACGCTGCACATTGGCCTGCAGGGAATCGGTGGACTTGTTCTGCCTCCTCGGATCCACAGAGATGCCAGTGGTCCGGGTCACCTTCTTGTGAATGCCCGCCACCCTGAGCTCCAGGCTGAAGCCTCTGCCGGCGCGCACCTTGATGTGATAACGCACAGCAGGGCACAGCACAATGGGCCAGATGGGTCCCGACTCTCCGGGCGCGGGGCGATGCAGCGCCCTTTGGCTTGCCGGGCCTTGATTCTGCGGATCTTCTGGTTGAACCACGTGGCCACACGCTGCTGCCAGTCCTTGTGGAAGTGGGGCTTCAACATCATGCCATTCCTGCTGGGCGCCATGGCTGCCTACGGCCCTCCTACGAAGGAAACACTTTATAGATTTCTATAGCAGTGTTACATAGTAAGGTTTTATGGCGAGTTTTGTAGCATGGATCATACTACCTTAGGACTGATGGTAAAGTTTTAGTCTAAGGAAAGCTCTGAAAATTTGAAAATGTGTAACCACCCAATGAGTTCAGCTTGCCCACTGCCTAGACAGAACCATTTATCAAGACGGGCATGCAAAGCCGGCTGTGTGGGAGACCCGTTTTATTATTATTCAAATCAGTCTCCCCAAGTGGATTGCAGTTTTTAAGGATAATTTGGTGGGTAGGGGACCAGTGAGTTGGGAAAGTTGATTAGTCGGGTCGGAGATGAAATCAGAGGGAGTCGAAGCTGTCCTCTTGTGTTGGCTTAATTTCTGGATGGGGGCCACAAGACCAGATGAGCCAGTTTATCGTTATGGGTGGTGCTAGCTGATCCATAGAGTACAGGGGCTGCAAAATATCTCAAGAACTGATCTTCGGTTTTACAATAGTGATGTTATCCTGAGGAGCAATTGGGGGAGGTTTAGAATCTTGCAGCCTCCAGCTGCATGACTCCTAAACCATAATTTATAATCTTGTGGCTAATTTGTTAGTCCTGCGAAAGCAGTCTAGTCCCCAGGCAGGAAGCGGGTTTGTTTTGGAAAGGGCTGCTATTGTCTTTGTTTCAAAGCTAAACTATAAACTAAGTTCCTCCCAAAGTTAGGTCAGCCTACGACCAGGAATGAACAAGGACAGCTTGGAGGTTAGAAGCAAGATGGAATTGGTTAGGTTAGATCTCTCACTGTCTCAGTTGTAATTTTGCGATGGTGTTTTCAAATGTTGATTTAAAGAAGACCATAAATTTGTGTTGCTTTCTCAGATTTTGAGAATAAGGACAAAAAGTGTATGTTTTAATGGGAGAATCTTAAGAATTTCACTACTGAAGTGGATTTCTCTGTCCATTAACAGTGCTAAATGTTTTGTATTTCCCAGTTGGAAAAACAAAATCTGCAAGCTTTGAATGATACTTGTTATTAGGTTTTGGTAACAGCTGTTGTACTATTCCCATTTCAATGCTCAATAGCCACACGTGGCATGTCATACCTACCAGGTGGACAGCACAGATATAGAACATTTTCATCATTGTAAAAAGCCCTATTTGACAACACTAACTTAAAGTATTAATCTTTTAGAAGAGAAAGCTTCAGTCCAACCCAAATTACACAATTTTACTTTTGAAAATATTGTTGAAACAACGTTCAATTTTTTAAAATTTTGGAAAACTGAATGAAATCCATTTGTAAATGCGCAAATGGTACTGGAGGTGGAAAACTGAAGCCTTGCTATAGTTTTAGTTTTTTGGAGGGTTATGATCAACACAGAGAAGAAAAGATTCATCTACCCATAGAGCTTCTTGAGAAAAATTTTCTAACAATAATTTTGAAAATTTGTAGTGAATTTGTTCTTGCCATTATTTATGGGTGCTTTCATGTGCGAGGCACATCAAAGTTCTGGGGAATGACTTAGGCACAACCAAATGGCTATCTTGGGAAGACCAAAGTCCTTTGCTATATATGAGAGTTTTGAGATGGCGACTACCTTTCTGTATGGTAGATTCTTGTTTTTGAATATGCCCTCTGGGTTTTCAAAACAAATTGTTTTTACAATACCTATAGTAGTTATCTAGGGCATATTCTTTAGCTTCAAAAATTCTATCTTTAGAATGGGCTTCAATATTCATAACTGAGTTATTTTCCTCTAATAAATCATTAACATTTTCCCATGTTTTATTGTGGTGTTCATGGTAGTTTAAAATACCTTATAATAGCATATAATATGTATGAACAACCTGAAAATATATGTATGTGAACAACCTGAAGCCACATGTACTCTCAGTATACAGGTTAATTCTTAAACCTTCAACAAGATGTCATGCTCAAATTGGAACTACATTTGTGCTTCACACAAAGACCTTTCCGTCAATGACTGACTACATGTACGACCATGGTTTTATAAGACTATAATACCATATTTTTACTGTATCTTTCCTGTGTTTAAGTACACAAATACGTATCTGTGTGTTCCATTGCCCTACAGTATTCAATACAGTAACATGCTGTAGTGGTTTGTAGCCCAGCAGCAATGGACTACACCGTATAACCTAGGTGTGGAGTAGGCTATACCATCTAGGTTTGTGTTAAATACTCTCTAAAATGTTTGCACAGTGATGAAATGCCCTAATGACTAATTTTTCAGATCATATCCCTGAGGTTGATCTAGGCATGACTGTATTAGTCCAGTCATCTGAGTAGATGTTGGCAAAAGGATAGTTTCCGTTACAGAAAATTAAGATGGCATATCCAGTAGAAGAGCATACCTTGAATTTGTTTTATTTTTAATTTTTAAAAAAAGTTTTAGAGCAGTTTATAAGCAGTTTTTAAGTTTATAAGATCACATAAGTTCATTTACCATATTCTACCACCATAACTTGACGTAAGCCTGAATGAACATTTTATAAGCTCAGCCTTACTGTATACTAAGTTCAAGTTTACATCAAGTTACGGTGATAGTATATGGTAAGATGTTTTGCCCTGAAAGTCCTTATTTTAAAATATGTATAGTTAAACTGACACATAACAAAGCATGTGAGACAAAAGAAAAGAGGAGACAACCAGATGGATTCTAGTGAGTTTGAGCTGCCATCCTCTGACTTGCACGCAAGGGCAAAGATTCACTAATCCAACAAGTGCTTGCTAAAGATTTAGGGGAAATAACATTGCTTTTTTATTTCATTTTCCCCCAACAGTTCATTCCATTAATAGTGCTAGGAAGTTTTGACATGAGAATAGGAACACTTTTCTCGGGTTTTGAAGGGCCTTGTATAGTCATGCAAAGAAGAGCATCGTACAGTCATACAAAGTCTACAGTATGAGGGTGTAGCACAGATATAAGGTACTGGATTATATCTCTTTTTTTTTTTTTTTTTGAGATGGAGTTTCACTCTTGTTGCCCAGGCTGGAGTGCAATGTCGCGATCTCGGCTCACTGCAACCTCCGCCTCCCAGGTTCAAGCAATACTCCTGCCTCAGCCTCCCAAGTACCTGGGATTACAGGCATGCACCACCATGCATGGCTAATTTTGTATTTTTAGTAGAGACGGGGTTTCTCCATGTTGGTCAGGCTTGTCTCAAACTCCCGACCTCAGGTGATCCGCCTGCCTCAGCCTACCAAGTGCTGGGATTACAGGCCTGAGCCACCGTGCCCGGCCATCTCTATTTTTTAAAAATATATTTGTGTGTAAATGTCTCAGTTATTTTAAAAACCTTGGTGCTATTTAATACTGTGGTTAACACTTTGGAAGAAAATGGCTAGGTTTGAGCCTGACCTTGTTGGTATAGGCTCACTCACACCTTCAGAATATGGGCATTGATGAAAGAAAAAATTCAGCTGAATTAAATTTAAAGGAGTTTAATTGAGCAATGAACGGTTTGCGAATCGGGCAGCCCCCAGAATCACAACAGATTCACAGAGACTCAGCGCAGTCACATGGTGGAAGAAGATTTATAGACCAAAAAAAAAAAAAAAAAAAAAGGGAGGGCCGAGCGCAGTGGCCCACGCCTATAGTCCCAGCACTTTGGGAGGCCGAGGTGTGTGGCTCACGAGGTCAGGAGTTCAAGACAAGCCTGACCAACATGGTGAAACCCCGTCTCTACTAAAAATACAAAAAAATTAGCCGGCTGTGGTGGCATGCTCCTGTAATCCCAGCTACTCAGGAGGCTGAGCCAGGAGAATTGCTTGAACCCGGGAGGCAGAGGTTTCAGTGAGCTGAGATCGAGCCACTGCACTCCAGCCTGGGCAACAGAGCAAAACAGCAAAACTCCTTCTTAAAAAAAAAAAAAAAAGGAATGACATATGGAAATTGGAAGTGAGGTACAGAATGGCTGGATGGGTTACAGCTCAGTTTTTGCCTTATTTGAACACAATTTGAACACTCAGCAGTGTATGAATGGTTGAATTACAGCCACTGGGATTGGCCAAGACTCAGCTATTGTTATAGGCACATATTCCTAAGTTAGGTTTTCAATCTTGTCTACCCATTAAACTAGGTTGCAATTCCTCCACAAGGACCCAAATATAAAAGTATGGAATCTTTCTCAGGCCATATTTAGTTTGCTTTAACAGCATAATCCACAGATTATGGTGCAGTGGATTCCGCTGATATTCAGGGGTGCTGACTCTAGTTTTCAATTAAGACAAGTGAAGAGAGACAGAACTCTGTTCCAGATAATGGATGTCTAGGTAATTCAGATAATCCCCCTGGTAAAGACAACAATAAAGCCGGGTGATATATAAAAATAATTCTTTCTTAAAGCATTAAAAATATAATAAACTAGTAATCAATTACCTGCTGAGTGTCAGTAAAAGAAACAAACCCAGAGAAGTGAATCTAGCAGTTGGGACCCCTTTTGCCCTGGCAACATTTGTAATCTGGATGTAGAAGCCAAGAGACTTATCTATGTTTCTGATAGCCTCATAGGGTTAGAGGAACAAAAACAGAAACCTAGGGCTGCCCAAAGTGGCGACATTGGTGATCATGCACTCCCCCTGAGGCTGCTTTCTAGGAGTAAAGGGGAACTGTAAGTAAACCTGCTCACCCATAAACTGCAGCTTGGCTTACCATCATCTGGTAGCCCATAAGACCCCAAACCTTGACACTGGTTTAAGGTGGGCTGTATTTCAGCACATCTAGGTTTCTGAAGAAGCAAAAGAAAATCCTCTCTGAAGGAATAAAACTTTAACCTAGACTTCACATTATTTCTAGAAATATTTTTTTCAAATACAAAACCCAGCATACAAACGTGCATACACATGAACAAACAAGTCTCCGTGAAAATCAACAGAAACAACAGACTCAAAAAAAGAAAAGAAAGAAAAGAGAGAGAAAGAAAGAGAGAAAGAAAGAAAAAAGAAAAAGAGAAAAGAAAGGAAAGAAAGAAAAAGAAATGACAGATACCAGAAATAGAATCTACTAAACTTCAGATTTGGAAATTATCAGATAAGGGTGTAACAAAACTGCTTACTATATTCAAAGAAACAAAAGCTAATCTAAAAAATTTAAGGAGCAAATTGAAAAATATAAAAACTGACGAAGTAGATTTAAAAATAAAAACCAAAATTTATTTGTAATTGAAATATATAATAACCAAAATTAAGAACTTGAAGGATAAATTAACAACAAACTTGACACAACTGAAAAGAGTATTAGTAAAGTGGAAAATAATTTAGAAGAAATTATTCAGAACACGCTGGGCGTGGTGGCTCACATCTGTAAACCCAGCACTTTGGGAGGCTGAGGCAGGTGGTTCACGAGGTCAGGAGATCGAGACCATCATGATAACTCGGTGAAACCCCATCTCTACTAAAAATACAAAAAATTAGCCAGGTGTGGTGGCAGGCACCTGTAGTCCCAGCTACTTGGGAGTCTGAGGCAGGAAAATGGCATGAACCCAGAAAGCGGAGCTTGCAGTGAGCCGAGATTGTGCCACTTTACTCCAGCCTGGGCAACAGAGCGATACTCTGTCTCATAAAAAAACAAAAAGTAATTATTCAGAACAAAGTATGGAGATGCAAAATAATGGTATTAATAGAAGAGAGGATAAGGAGATCTAATATATATTTAATTAGAATTTTTAATGGATGAAAGACAATAGAGCAGAGGCAATATTTGAATAAATAATAACTGAGATATATAAGACATGGAGAAATGCCACCTACATTCCCTCTCAAAGAAGGACTCATTTCCCTTAGTTGTTTGGAGTGCTGCCAATGTTCTAGGGTTTATCTCAGGTGCAGAGAGTTGATTCTCCCAAAAGCACACCCTTCCTGGGATGATGCACCTTCAACAATTGATTGCAGTGGAGTAAAAAGATTTGTCGTTTTGGCACCACAGGAGTATAGGCCATATGTAATCCAGTGCTCCCTATGGTGTTGGTTGAGACTTTGGCAGGTCTGCATCTCAGCTTAACTCACTTTTCCAGTTTGACAGCCTCATTCACGGTGCTCAGACCATGGAAGTATTTTGTGTTAGAAAAAGGACAATTGGCTGGGCATGGTGGCTCATGCCTGTAATCCCAGCACTTTGGGAGGCCGAGGTGGGAGGATCACTTGAGGTCAGGAGTTTGAGACCAGCCTGGCCAATATGGCAAAACCCCTTCTCTACTAAAAATACAAAAAATTAGCCAGGCATAGTGACAGCCGCCTGTAATCCCAGCTACTTGAGAGTCTGAGACAGGATAATCACTGGAACCTGGGAGGTGGAGGTTGCAGTGAGCTGAGATTGCGCTGTTGCAATCCAGCCTGGGTGACAGAGCGAGCCTCAATCTCAAAAAAAAAAAAAGGACAATTGTCAAAAGTAAGAAGCTGTAGTAGGGGGTCAGAAATATAAATAAATACTATCAGGGCTCAGGTCTAAGGGGGGAAATATTTTATTCTCTTATTTTTTGTACTTTAAGTTCTAGGGTACATGTGCACAATGTGCAGGTTTGTTACATATGTATACACGTGCCATGTTGGTATCCTGCACCCATTAACTTGTTATTTACATTAGGTATTTCTCCTAATGCTATCCCTCCCCACTAACCCACTCCACGACAGGCCCTGGTGTGTGACATTCCCCTTCCTGTGTCCAAGTGTTCTTATTGTTCAATTCCCCCCATGAGTGAGAACATGAGGTGTTTTGTTTTCTGTCCTTGTTATGGTTTGCTGAGAATGATGGTTTCCAGCTTCATCCATGTCCCTACAAAGGACATGAACTCATCCTTTTTTATGGCTGCATAGTATTCCATGGTGTATATGTGCCACATTTTCCTAATCCAGTCTATCATTGATGGATATTTGGGTTGTTCCAAGTCTTTGCTATTGTGAATAGTGCCGCAATAAACATATGTGTGCATGTGTCTTTATAGTAGCATAATTTATAATCCTTTGGGTATATACCCAGTAATGGGATTGCTGAGTCAAATAGTATTTCTAGTTCTAGATCCTTGAGGAATTATCACACTGTCTTCCACGATGGCTGAACTAGTTTACAGTCCCACCAACAGTGTAAAAGCATTCCTATTTCTCCACATCCTCTCCAGCACCTGTTGTTTCCTGACTTTTTAATGATCACCATTCTAACTGGTGTGAGATGGTATCTCATTGTGGTTTTGATTTGCATTTCTCTGATGGCCAGTGATGATGAGCATTTTTTCATGTGTCTTTTGGCTGCATAAATGTCTTCTTTTGAGAAGTGTCTGTTCATATCCTTTGCCCACTTTTTGATGGGGTTGTTTGATTTTTTCTTGTAAATTTGTTTGAGTTCTTTGTAGATTCTGGATATTAGCCCTTTGTCAGATGGGTAGATTGCAAAAATTTACTCCCATTCTGTAGGTTGCCTGTTCACTCTGATGGTAGTTTCTTTTGCTGTGCAGAAGCTCTTTAGTTTAATTAGATCCCATTTGTTTATTTTGGCTTTTGTTGTCATTGCTTTTGGTGTTTTAGTCATGAAGTCCTTGTCCATACCTATGTCCTGAATGGTATTGCCTAGGTTTTGTTCTAGGGTTTTTATGGTTTTAGGTCTAACATTTAAGTCTTTCATCCATCTTGAATTAATTTTTGTATAAGGTTTAAGGGAGGGATCCAGTTTCAGCTTTCTACATATGGCTAGCCAGTTTTCTCAGCACCATTTATTAAATAGGGAATCCTTTCCCCATTTCTTGTTTTTGTCAGGTTTGTCAAAGATCAAATGGTTGTAGACGTGTGGTATTATTTCTGAGGGCTCTATTCTGTTCCATTGGTCTATATATCTATTTTGGTACCAGTACCATCTGTTTTGGTTACTGTAACCACGTAGTATAGTTTGAAGTCAGGTAGCGTGATGCCTCCAGCTTTGTTCTTTTGGCTTAGGATTGTCTTGGCAATGCAGGCTCTTTTTTGGTTCCATATGAACTTTAAAGTAGTCTTTTCCAATTCTGTGAAGAAAGTCATTGGTAGCTTGAGGGAGATGGCATTGAATCTATAAATTACCTTGGGCAGTAGGGCCATTTTCATGATATTGATTCTTCCTATCCATGAGCATGGAATGTTCTTCCATTTGTTTGTGTCCTCTTTTATTTTGTTGAGCAGTGGTTTGTAGTTCTTCTTGAGGAGGTCCTTCACATCCCTTGTAAGTTGGATTCCTAGGTATTTTATTCTCTTTGTAGCAATTGTGAATGGGAGTTCCCTCATGATTTGGCTCTCTGTCTGTTACTGATGTATAGGAATGCTTGTGATTTTTGCACATTGATTTTGTATCCTGAGACTTTGCTGAAGTTGCTTATCAGCTTAAGGAGATTTTGGACTGAGACGATGGGGTTTTCTAAATATACAATCATGTCATCTGCAAGCAGGGACAATTTGACTTCCTCTTTTCCTAATTGAATACCCTTTATTTGTTTCTCTTGCCTGATTGCCCTGGCCAGAACTTCCAACACTATGTTGAATAGAAGTGGTGAGAGAGGGCATCCCTGTCTTGTGCCAGCTTTAAAAGGGAATGCTTCCAGTTTTTGCCCATTCAATATGATATTGGCTGTGGGTTTGGCATAAACAGCTCTTATTATTTTGAGATACGTCCCATCAATACCTAGTTTATTGAGAGTTTTTAGCATGAAGGGCTGTTGAATTTTGTCGAAGGCCTTTTCTGCATCTATTGAGATAATCACATGGTTTTTGGCTTTGGTTCTGTTTATGTGATGGATTACATTTATTGATTTTCATATGTTGAACAAGCCTTGTATCCCAGGGATGAAGCCAACTTGTTCTTGGTGGATAAGCTTTTTGATGTGCTGCTCGATTTGGTTTGCCTGTATTTTATTGAGGATTTTCGCATCGATGTTCATCAGGGATATTGGTCTAAAATTCTCTTTTTTTGTCATGTCTCTGCCAGGCTTTGGTATCAGGATAATGCTTGCCTCATAAAATGAGTTAGGGATGAGTCCCTCTTTTTCTATTGTTTGGAATAGTTTCAGAAGAAATCGGACTAGCTCCTCTTTGTACCTGTGGTAGAATTCTGCTGTGAATCCGTCTGGTCCTGGACTTTTTTTGGTTGGTAGGCTATTAATTATTGCCTCAATTTCAGAGCCTGTTATTGGTCTATTCAGGGATTCAACTTCTTCCCAGTTTAATCTTAGGAGAGTGTATGTGTCCAGGAATTTATCCATTTCTTCTAGATTTTCTAGTTTATTTGCATAGAGGTGTTTATAGTATTCTCTGATGGTAGTTTGCATTTCTGTGGGATCGGTGGTGATATCCCCTTTATCATTTTTCATTGCATCTGTTTGATTAGTCTCTATTTTCTTCTTTATTAGTCTTGCTGGTGATGTATCAATTTTGTTGATCTTTTCAAAAAAGCCAGCGCCTGGATTCATTGATTTTTTGAATGGTTTTTTGTGTTTCTGTCTCCTTCAGTTCTGCTCTGATCTTAGTTATTTCTTGCCTTCTGCTAGCTTTTGAATGTGTTTGCTCTTGCTTCTCTAGTTCTTTTCATTGTGATGTTAGGATGTCGATTTTAGATCTTTCCTGCTTTCCCTTGTGGGCATTTAGTGCTATAAATTTCCCTCTACACACTGCTTTAAATGCGTCCCAGAGATTCTGGTATGTTGTGTCTTTGTTCTCATTGGTTTCAAAGAACATCTTTATTTCTGCCTTCATTTTGTTATTTACCCAGTAGTCATTCAGGAGTAAGTTGTTCAGTTTCCATGTAGTTGTGCAGTTTTGAATGAGGTTCTTAATCCTGAGTTCTAATTTGATTGCACTGTGGTCTGAGAGACAGTTTGTTGTGATTTCTGTTCTTTTACATTTGCTGAGGAGTGCTTTACTTCCAACTTTGTGGTCAATTTTGGAATAAGTGTGATGTGGTGCTGAGAAGAATGTATATTCTGTTTATTTGGGGTGGAGAGTTCTGTAGATGTCTATTAGGTCTGCTTGGTCCAGAGCTGAGTTCAAGTCCTGAATATCCTTGTTAACCTTCTGTCTCATTGATCTGTCTAATATTGACAGTGGGGTGTTAAAGTCTCCCATTATTATTGTGTGGGAGTCTAAGTCTCTTTGTAGGTCTCTAAGGACTTGCTTTATGAATCTGGGTGCTCCTGTATTGGGTGCATATATATTTAGGATAGTTAGCTCTTCTTGTTGAATTGACCCCTTTACCATTATGTAATGGCCTTCTTTGTCTTTGTTGATCTTTGTTGGTTTAAAGTCTGTTTTATCAGAGACTAGGATTGCAACTGCTGCTTTTTTTTTTGCTTTACATTTGCTTGGTAGATCTTCCTCCATCCCTTTATTTTGAGCCTGTGTGCGTCTCTGCATGTGAGATTGGTCTCCTGAATACAGCACACTTGATGGGTCTTGACTCTTTATCCAATTTGCCAGTCTGTGTCTAATTTAATTGGGGCATTTAGCCCATTTACATTTAAGGTTAATATTGTTATGTGTGAATTTGATCCTGTCATGATGTTAGCTGGTTATTTTGCCCATTAGTTGATGCAGTTTCTTCCTAGCATCGATGGTCTTTACAATTTGGCATGATTTTGCAGTGGCTGGTACCAGTTGTTCCTTTCCATGTTTAGCGCTTCCTTCAGGAGCTCTTGTAAGGCAGGCCTGGTGGTGACAAAATCTCTCAGCATTTGCTTGTCTGCAAAGGATTTTATTTCTCCTTCAATTATGAAGCTTAGTTTGGCTGGATATGAAATTCTAGGTTGAAAATTCTTTTCTTTAAGAATGATAAATATTGGCCCCCACTCTCTTCTGGCTTGTAGAGTTTCTGCCAAGAGATCTGCTGTTAGTCTGATGGGATTCCCTTTGCGGGTAACCCGACCTTTCTCTCTGGCTGCCCTTAACATTTTTTCCTTCATTTCAACCTTGGTGAATCTGACAATTATGTGTCTTGGGATTGTTTTTCTCGAGGAGTATCTTTGTGGTGTTCTCTGTATTTCCTGAATTTGAATGTTGGCCTGCCTTACTAGGTTGGGGAAGTTCTCCTGGATAATATCCTGAAGAGTGTTTTCCAACTTGGTTCCATTCTCCCTGTCAGTGTCAGGTACACCAATCAGACGTAGATTTGGTCTTTTCACATAGTCCCATATTTCTTGGAGGCTTTGTTTGTTTCTTTTTAGCCTTTTTTCTTTTATTTATTTATTTTTTTTTGAGACAGAGTCTCACTGTGTCACCGAGGCTGGAGGGCAGTGGTGCCATCTTGGCTCACTGCAAGCTCCACCTCCCGGGTTCACGCCATTCTCCTGCCTCAGCCTCCCGAGTGGCTGGGACTACAGGCGCCCGCCACCATGCCCAGCTAATGTTTTGTATTTTTAGTAGAGACGGGGTTTCACCGTGTTAGCCAGGATGGTCTCGATCTCCTGACGTTGTGATCCGCCCGCCTCGGCCTCCCAAAATGCTGGGATTACAGGCGTGAGCCACCGCGCCCGGCTTCTTTTTACCCTTTTTTCTCTAAATTCTCTTCTTGCTTCGTTTCATTAATTTGATCTTCAATCACTGATACCCTTTCTTCCACTTGATGGAATCGGCTACTGAAGCTTTTACATGTGTCACGTAGTTCTCGTGCCATGGTTTTCAGCTCCATCAGGTCCTTTGAGGTCTTCTCTACACTGTTTATTCTAGTTAGCCATTTGTCTAATCTTTTTTCAAGGTTTTTAGCTTCCTTATGATGGGTTCAAACCGCCTCCTTTAGCTCGGAGAAGTTTGTTATTACTGACCTTCTGAAGCCTACTTCTGTCAATTCATCAAAGTGATTCTCCATCCAGCTTTGTTCCATTGCTGGTGAGGAGCTGCGATCCTTTGGAGGAGAAGAGGTGTTCTGGTGTTTAGGATTTTCAGCTTTTCTGCTCTGGTTTCTCTCCATCTTTGTGGTTTTATCTGCCTTTGGTCTTTGATGATGGTGACCTACAGATGGGCTTTTGGTGTGGATGTCCTTGTTGTTGATGTTGATGCTATTTCTTTCTGTTTGTTAGTTTTCCTCCTAACAGGTCTCTGAGCTGCAGGTCTGTTGGAGTTTGCTAGAGGTCCACTCCAGACCCTGTTTGCCTGGGTATCACCAGCAGAGGCTGCAGAACAGCAGATATTGCAGAACAGCAAATATTACTGCCTGATCCTTCTTCTGGAAGCTTCGTCTCAGAGGGGCACCTGGCTGTATGAGGTGTTAGTCGGCCCCTACTGGGAGGTGTCTCCCAGTTAGGCTACACAGGGGTCAGGGACCCACTTGAGGAGGCAGTCTGTCCCTTCTTAGGACTCAAACTCCGTGCTGGGAGAACCACTGCTCTCTTCAGAGCTGTCAGACAGGGACGTTTAAGTCTGCAGAAGTTTCTGCTGCCTTTTGTTCAGCTATGCCCTGCCCCCCAGAGGTGGAGTCTACAAAGGCAGGCAGGCCTCCTTGAGCTGTGGTGGACTCCACCCAATAAGAGCTTCTGGGCCACTTTGTTTGCCTACTCAAGCCTCAGCAATGGAGGACCCCCTCCCCCAGCCAGGCTGCCACCTCGCTGTTCGATCTCGGACTGCTGCTCTAGCAGTGAGCAAGGCTCCGTGGGCGTAGGACCCTCTGAGCCAGGCTCTGGGTATAATCTCCTGGTGTGCCATTTGCTAAGACCATTGGAAAAGTGCAGTATTAGGGCAGGAGTGTCCCGATTTTCCAGGTACACTCTGTCACAGTTTCCCTTGGCTGGGAAAGGGAAATCCCCTGAACCTTGCACTTCCCAGGTGAGGCGATGCTCCGCCCTGCTTCAGCTCACCCTCCATGGGCTGTACCCACTGTCCAACCAGTCCCAGTGAGATGAACCAGTTACCTTAGTTGGAAATGCAGAAATCACCTATCTTCTGTGGCAATCACGCTGGGAGCTGCAGACCAGAGCTGTTCCTATTTGGCCATCTTGTTTTCACTCTATTTTATTCTCTTCTAACAGGGGATTTCTTTTTTGTTTTTTGTTTTTTTTTCCGAGATGCAGTCTCACTCTGTCCCTCAGGCTGGAGTGCAGTGGCACAATCTCGGCTCCCAGGTTCAAGTGATTCTTCTGCCTCAGCTTCCTGAGTAGTTGGGACTACAGGTGGGTACCACCATACCTACCTAATTTTTGTATTTTTAGTAGAAATGGGGTTTCACCATGTTGGCCAGGCTGGTCCCAAACTCCTGACCTCGTGATGCACACACCTCGGTCTCCGAAAGTGCTGGGATTTCAGGTGTGAGCCACTGCGCCCCACAGTAATGTTTCCATTTCAATTCTGATTTTAGTGACTTGAATCATCTCTCCCTTATCTTGGTCAATCTAGTTTAGGGTTTGACAATTTTGTTTACCTTTTTAAGAAATAAATATTTTATTTTATTTATTTATTTATTGTTTTTCTATTTCATTAGTTTCCACTCTAATCTTTATTTCTTTCCTTCCTGTTGCGTTAGCTTTAGTTTGCTCGTCTTTTTTCAGTGTCTTACAATGTAAGGGCTATTGATTTAAGATCTTTTGTCTTTCCTAACATAAACATTCCCAGCTATAAATTTACTTCTTAGCACTGTTTTAGCTGTATCCAGTACATTTTGATATGTTGTGCTGTTGTGTACTTTTTTTTTTTTTTGAGACCTAGTCTCACCCTGTCACCCAGGCTGGAGTGCAGTGGCACATTCTCAGCTCACTGCAACCTCACCTTCCCAGGTTCAAACGATTCTCATGCCTCAGCCTCCCCAGTAGCTGGGATTACAGACATGTGCCACCACACCCAGCTAATTTTTTATATTTTCTTGTAGAGACATGGTTTTGTGACTAGGCTGGCCTCCAACTCCTAGCGTCAAGTGATTCGCCCGCCTTGGCCTCTCAAAGTGCTGGGATTACAGGCATGAGCCACCGCGCCTGACTGAACTCATTTTTATTTATCTGAACGTATTTAAATTGTTTTAAATAAAAGTAAAACACATAACATTAAATTTATCATCCTAACCATTTTTAAGTATACAGTTTAGTAGTATTAAGTATATTCACATTGTTATGCAACAGATCTCTGGAACACTTTCATCTTTCAACACTGAAACTCTATGCCCAACAAACGCTAATTCTCCTCTCCCTTCCAGCCAGTCCTTGGCAACCACCTTTCTACCTTCTGTTTCTATAATTGTGTCTACTTTAGATACTTCTTATTAGTGGAATCATACAGTGTCTGTTCTTTTGTGACTGGCTTACTTCACTTGCCATAATGTCCTCAAGATTTATCTATTATTGTAGTATGTGATAGGATTTCCTTTTTTAAGGCTACATAATATTCTGTTGTATGTATATACCACATTTGGTATATCCATTCATCTGTCAATTGACATTTGTTTTGCTTTTACCTCTTGGCTAGTGTGAATAATGCTACAGTTATCTCTTTAGGATCCTACTTTGAATGCTTTTGAATTCTTTTGAAACCCCTGCAGAAGTAGGTTTGCTGGATTATATGGGAATCATAATTTTAATTTTGTGAAGAAACCCTGTGTTGGGAAAACTCTCACCAACCATTTTCCTCTAGTCTTACACCACAATAATCATCAACATAGAAGACTACTGTGGCCAAATGTGTGAAGGTTTTTCCCCACACATCAAGCAGCAGACACCAGCTAGGTGTCCTCCAATTCAGTTCTGACACTGTCTACCTGAAGGTAATGTCAGTTCCTGCAGGTTGGGGGCTCAGTCCACAAGACTTCCCCCTATAGCCTCAGATACCAGTTGCAAGTCTGGGTCTCTGGGACTTCTTGACTGACTGGTTTCAATTTGGGGTTCCTACAACCTCCTCTTTGGGTTAAGTTAATTTGCTGGAGTGGCTCACAGAACTCAGGGAAACATTTACATTCACCAGTTTATTATAAAGGACACAGATGAATAGACTGGCAGGGCAAGGTATGGTGGAAGGGGTATGGAGCTTCCATGCCCTCCCTGGGCATGCCACCCTCCAGCAACCTTCACGGGTTCAGCTATCTGGAGGTCTTTGAACCCAGTCTTCTTGGGTTTGTATGGAAGCATTCCTTCCTCCAGGGTATGAGACTGGACCCTCCCAGGGGAGGGTCTTAAGACCCATAATGAAAAAGATGGGGTAATATTAGAGTTCTGCCTTGGGGCAGGTGAAAGGAAGGCAGGAGGTAGATTCTGTTCCTTGAGGCCTGCCCCTGAGGCCTAACACACACAACATTATAACAAAAGACTGTAACAAGGGAGATGGAAGTTATGAACCAGTAACTGTGGATGAAAACCTATAACTTATATATATACATGTATATATATATGTATATAGACCACGAACTCCACACTGTTTTTCATAATGGCTGCACCATTTTACATTCCCGCCAACAGTGCACACATTTCCAATTTCTGCATATCCTCTCCAACACTTGTTATTTTCTATTCTTTTCATAGGGCCATCCTAACAGATGTGAGATTATATTTCATTATGATTTTGATTTGTATTTCTCTAATGATTAGTAATGTTGAACATTTTTTCATATGCTTATTGGCTATTTGTATATCTTTTTTCAAGAAATGTTTATTAAAGTCTGTTGCCCATTTTAAAATCAGGTTATTTGTTTTTTGTTGTTGTTGAGTTGTACAAGTTCCTTATATACGCTGGATATTAACCCTTTATCAGTTGCAAACATTTTCCTCCTGTTCCATAGGTTGTGTTTTCACTTTTTTGATTGTTTCCTTTGATGTGCGGAAATTTTTAAGTTTGGTGTGGTCCCATTTGTCTATTTTTGCTTTTGTTGTCTGTGTTCTTGGTGGCTTGTCCAAGAAATCACTGTCAAATCCAATGTCCTGAAGCTTTTCCTCCATGTTTTCTTCGAGGAGTTGTATAGTTTTTGGTCTTATGTTTAGGTCTTTAACCCATTTTGAATTTTTTTTGTATATGTATAAAGATAAGGTCCAATTCATTATTTTGCATGTAGATAACCACTTTTTCCAATACTGTTTACTGAAGGCTCTGTCCTTTCTCCATTGTGTAGTCTTGGCATCATTGTCAAAATTATTCATCCATATATGCAAGGATTTATTTCTGGGCTCTCTGTTCCATTAGTCTGTATACCTGTCTTTATGTCAGTAATACAACCATCTTTTTTGTTTGAGACAGAGTCTTGCTCTGTCACCTGTCACCCAGGCTAGGGTGCATTGGCATGATCTCAGCTCACTGCAACCTCTGCCTGCCGGGTTCAAGCAATTCTCCTGCCTCAGCCTCCCAAGTAGCTGGGACTATAGGCACGTGCCACCATGCCCAGCTAATCTTTTGTATTTTTAGTAGAGACGGGGTTTTACCATGCTGGCCAGGCTGGCCTTGAACTCCTGACCTCGTCATCCACCCACCTTGGTCTCCCAAAGTGCTGGGATTACAGGCATGAGCCACTGCGCCTGGCCCCTACAACCATCTTCATTAGCGTTGCTTTCTAGTATGGTTCAAAATCAGGAAGAATGAGTTCTACAGCTTTGTTCTTTTTCAAGATTGTTTTGGCTGTTCAGGTTCCCTGGAGATTCCATATGAGTCTTAGGATGATTTTTTTCTATATTTTCCTATTTCTGCAAAATTGCCATTGAGTTTTTGATAAGAATGCCATTGAATCTGTAGATCACGTTGGATAATATGTACTTATTCACAGTATTAAAGTCTTCCACTCCACAAGCACAGGATGCCTTTCCATTTATTTGTATCTTGTCTGATTTCTTTTAGCAATGTTTTGTAGTTTTTCCCGCACAAGTCTTTTACCTCCTTGGTTCAGTTTATGCCTAAATATTTTATTCTTTTTGGTGCTATAGTAAATGGGATTGTTTTCTTAATTTTCTTTTCAGGTTGGTCATTGCTAGTTTGTAGAAATGCAACTGATTTTTGTGTGTTCATTTTATACCCTGCTACTTTTCTAAAGTTGTTTATTAGTTGTAACAGGTTTTTTTGTGTGTGTGTGGGAAGGTCTTCAGGGTTTCCACATATAAGATCATGTCATCTGTAAACAGATAATTTTAGTTTTCTTTTCCAGTTTGGATGACTTTTGTTTCTTTCTTTCGTTCTTTCCTTCCTTTTCTTTTCTTTCAAGACGGGGTCTGGCTTTGTCCCCATGCTGGAGTACAATGGTGTGATCTCGGCTCATTGCAACCTCCACCTCCCGGGTTCAAGTGAACCCTGCCTCAGCCTCCCAAGTAGCTGGGATTACAGGTGCATGCCATCATGCCCGGCTAGTTTTTGTAGATTTTTATGGTTATGGGGTTTCACCATGTTGCCTAGGCTGGTCTTGAACACCTGGGCTCAAGCAGTGCACCCTCTCGGCCTCCCAAAGTGCTGGGATTACAGGCTGTAGCCAGCGCACTGGGGCTTTTTTTCTTGTCTAATTGCTCTGAGTAGGACTTCTAGTGCTATGTTGAACAGTAGTGGTGAGAGTAAGCATCCTTGCCTTGTTCTAGATCTTAGAGGAAAAGCTAAGGCCACTGAATATATTACCTGTGGGCTTTTCATGTATGGCTTTTATTAAGTTGAGGTAGTTTCATTCTATTCCTAGTTTGCTGAGTACTTTTTTCTTTTTTCTTTTCTTTTTTCTTTTTTTGAGTCGGAGTTTTGCTCCCTTGACCAGGCTGCAGTGCAGTGGCGCCATCTCTGCTCACTGCAAAGTCTGCCTCCCGGGTTCACGCCATTCTCCTGCCTCAGTCTCCCGAGTAGCTGGGACTACAGGCGTCTGCCACCATGCCCGGCTAATTTTTTTCATTTTTTTTAGTAGAGACGGGGTTTCACCGTGTTAGCCACGATGGTCTCGATCTCCTGAACTCGTGATCCGCCCGCCTCGGCCTCCCAAAGTGCTGGGATTACAGGCGTGAGCCATCGCGCCTGGCCGCTGAGTGCTTTTTTCATAAAAGTGTGTTGAATTTTGTTGAATCCTTTCTGTATCTCAATTGAGATGATATTTGATTATTGCCATTCATTTTATTAACATGGAGTATTATATAACCCTGGATATTTCACTCCCAAGAGTGCTAATCCTCTGACATTAGTCTTCGTGGTGATGCAGTTTTTGGTATGCCCCCAGTCACCCTGGGATGACAGTGGTGCTGGCAATGTTCTTTTTCACTCTTTTTCTGACCACACCCTACTGTTGTGTTTCAGTTATTGCTGACCAGTTGTTGTATTGTTTTCAACAATGCCTTGAGGTATAAATTCCTCTATGAACAAATCCAATCAAAATGTAGCTCCTTAAATGGAATAGTTTCTGATGTAAGTATTTGATATTTGTCCTGACTCCAAAAGGGTTCCTCCTACCTGTCTTATTTCCTGATTCTCTCCTGCATACTAGCCAGACTGCAGTTTAAGATCTATCTTTCTTAGATTCACAAATTTCCTCCCAATTACCTTTCATCAAAATCTCCACCATTCTTGAGAATGCCCTTAGCTTTCCACTTCTCTATTCTATGTTACAAATTAAATCAGTTATTTTGGGAAAGGATTGGAAGCTATCTACTTTTTGGCTCATTTATTTCTTCTTCTTCTTTTTTTTTTTTTTTTTTTGAGATGGAGTCTTGCTCTGTCGCCCAGGCTGGAGTGCAGTGGTACAATCTCAGCTCACTGCAACCTCCACCTCCTGGGTTCAAGCGATTCTCCTTCCTCAGCCTCCATAGTAGCTGGAATTATAGGCACACACCACCAGGCCCAGCTATTTTTTTTGTATTTTTAGTAGAGATGGGTTTTCGCCATGTTGGCCAGGCTGGTCTCAAACTCCTGACCTCAGGTGATCTGCCCGCCTTGGCCTCCCAAAGTGCTGGGATTACAGACATGAGCCACCATGCCCGGCTGGCTCATTTCTTTCTATAGGAAAAATCTCTGAGCTAGGACTCTGGAGCTAGAGGTGGTAACAATTGCATGTTTCTCTTTGTGGAAGAAAAGTTCTAGATGCTGAACACTCAGTGGATGAAGTGCAGTAGTCTGAAATCCTCTTGGCTTGTATTTCCTGTTTTGAAGCCACTGCCTCACAAGCCGCAGTAAGAGCTATTAGCACCTTAGTATTCTCTGTGTGCCATGCTCAAGGTAGAGTATTAACTATGTAGGGGTGGCGGAAAAGCTTCCTCTCTGCCCACTGAAATTTGCTGAAAATGAAGTGACAAAGGCAGATTAATAAAAGAAAAAGACATACAAAATTTATTTAACATACATAAGCATGGGGTAATTGTAGGAGAGTGATTACCCAGTGTCCCAGTGAAGTTCAAATACATATATGCCCTTCTTCATAGGGGAAGGAGAGATTGAAGCTGATCATTTAGTATTCCTTTTTACAGTGACATTATATTGATGTACCATAGTTTTCTCAAATTGACCCTTTTGTCAGACATTTGGATTGTTTCCTTTTTTTTGTTTTTTTTTTTTTGAGATGGAGTCTCGCTCTGTCTCCCAGGCTAGAGTGCAGTGGCATGATCTTGGCCCCAGCCTCCCTAGTAGCTGGGGCTACAGGCACGTGCCGCCACACCCAGCTAATTTTTTGTATTTTAATAGAGACGGGGTTTCATCATGTTAGCCAGGATGGTCTCAATCTCCTGACCTGGTGATCCACCTGCCTCAGCCTCCCAAAGTGCTGGGATTACAGGCATGAGCCACCGCACCCGGCCTGGATTGTTTCCTTCTTTTGCTTTACAAATAGAGTTGTGATGAATAGTCATGCATCTGTTTTCCTTTTTATTTATTTAGTATTTATTATTATTATTATTATTTGAGATGGAGTTTTGCTCTCTCACCCAGGCTGGAGTGCTGTGGTGACATCTTGGCTCACTGCAACCTCTGCCTCCTGGGATTCAAGCAATTCTCCTGCCTCAGCCTCTTGAGGAGCTGCAATTACAAGTGCCCGCCACTACACCTGACTACTTTTTGTATTTTTAGTAGAGGCAGGGTTTCACTGTGTTGACCAGGCTGGTCTCAAACTTTTGGCCTCAAGTGATTTGCCGGCCTTGGCCTTCCAAAGTGTTGAGATTACAGGCGTAAGCCACTGTGCCTGGCCCTTTTTATTTTGATAGTATATATTAGGGATAGCTTTTTAGAAGTGGAATTTGTGGGTTAAAGGGTAAATAATTATACATTTTTTCTAGATACTGCAAATTTTCTGCCCTTGGAATTATACCATTTTCCATTCCCACCAGTACTCTATGAAAAGACTAATTTCTCGGCAACCTTGACAACAAAGTATGCTATCCAATCTAATTTAGTATGTCTTTCACTTATTATGAGTAAAGTCAGGGTATTTGGGGTATCCATCACTTTGAGTATTTATCATTTCTATGTGTTGGTTTCAGGTTATCTCTTATAGCTACTTTGAAATATACAATACATTGTTGCTAACTATAGTCACCCTACTCTACTATCAACATTAGAGGCTGGCTGTGGTGGCAGGCACCTGTAATCCCAGCTGCTCAGGAGACTGAGGCAGGAGAATCACTTGAACCTGGGAGGTGGAGGTTGCAGTGAGCTGGGATGGTGCCACTGCACTCCAGCCTGGGCAAGACAGCCAGACTCCAACTCAAAAAAAAAAAAAAAAAAAAGAACCTATACCTTCTATCTAATTATATGTTTGTACACATTGACCAACCTGCCTTTGTACGCAGCTCCAATGCACACACCCTTCCCTGACCCTGGTATCTATGATTCTACTCTCTACCTCCATGAGATCAACTTTTTAAACTCCCACATATGACTGAAAAGATGTGAAATTTGTCTTTCTGTTTCTCGCTTACTTTATTTAACATAATGACCTCCAGTTCCAATTACAATGGATTATATTAATATCTTTCCTAATAATGAGTGATCTTTACACTCCTGGAATAAACCCTACTTGGACATCCTGTATTACTGTTTTAAATGTGCTATTGTATTCTGTTTGCTATAAATTTTATTTAAGATTTAGGCATTACATTTCATATATTTCATATGTGAAATTGACCTGTAGTTTTCATTTTTAGTGCAAACTGAAATGTTATACTAACTTTATAAAGTGCTAGTGTCTATGCTTCGAATAATTTAAGTAGCATCATGATTTTTTGATATTTGACAGTTTGGTAGGATTTCTTTATGAAAGTATTTGAGCTTGGTGCCCTTTTTATTGAGTATGCCTGTTAAACTATTTTTCTTAACTGGTCTGTTTAGACTTTCTGTCTCTACAAGGGTTAGTTTGAGTATGCTACATTTGTCTAAAAAATCCACTAAGTTTGCCAGTTATTTGCTAGTTGTGTTATGTTATCTCTGATGATTTCAAAAAAGGTCTTCTGTGTTGATGATTATTTCCTCCAGTTCTAATTTTGTGTATTTGCACTAATTTTCTCTTTGTTGGCTAGAGGTTTGTCTATTTTGTTGACTTTCAAATATCCACCTTTTTTGTATCTTTATTAGTTATACTTTGTTTCTAACTCATTCTCTGAATTTGTCCTTACAACCCTTCCTTCCTCATTCTTTTGGTTTATTTTGTTGTTCATTTAGTAGCATCTTGAGCTGTGTTTGATTCATTTGTTATTTTTTGTTATCGATATAGGTATGTGAGGAAATAAATTTCCTTCTGATAAATGCTTTAGCTCTATCTCACAGATTCTATGTCACATTTGCACTTTTGTCCCTTTCAAGAAATTATGTAATTAAAATTTGTATTTCCTTCTTGACTCGAGTTGTATTATAGCATGCTTTAAAATTTTCAGGTGGAAGTGACTTTTATTTTTTATTTTATCAATTTCTAGTTTTATTGCATGATGGTCAGAGAATGATGTTTGTGTTATTTCTATACTTTGGAACTTACTGAGGTTTTCTTCTGTGGTCCGTTTTCATGAATGTTTCACAGGTACTACAAAAGAATGTGGTGCGGAGAGAGAGGTATACCGGACCCGAACTCTCTCGCCACACTCTTCCTCGTTCCTTGATTATTTCCGGTAATGCTCCTGAATCCACATTTTTATGAAAAAAAAAAAACCACTTTATTCTTCTTGTATGCGACCCTCTGCAAACTGTTTTTTTTAAATAAAGTATTCAAGTATGATTGACGTCCCTTTAATCTCAGATGGGCTGATAATAGGATTGGATAATTCTGTTATTCACCACATCCCCTTATCTTGTCTTTCTGCCCATTTAAGCTACTCTCCCAGTGTTGGCTGAGACCCTGTGGGTTCCTTGGGCTGGGAGGCAGAAGCCCGGAGCTCAGAGGATGAGGTTGGTGAGCCAGACCCGGCACACGGAGGGCTTGATGAATCGTTCATGCGCGTGTTGAGTGTATACCGCCCTCGTATCGTTTTCTGCCAATCGGGACCGGACCGGGAGCGGATTCTGCCCGAAAGGGGGCGCGATCTGGCGGGTGCTCCTCTTCCTCGCTCCCCAGTCCGCGCCTCGCTGGGCTCAGCACCCCGGCCCCCGGCGGGACGGAGGCTCGGGTCCAAAGCAGTGGCTGCACCGACACGAACCCGTCTGCGTTTCTCCACCTGTCTTCCCTCGCCACCTGCATCTACTATGGTCTCTAAATGCCTCGCTTTGTACTTTGTGGCTTTCTGGCAGCCCTTTAAAGCAGCGGTGAAAGAAAGGAGAGAGTCAAGACACGGGAGAAAATGTTTCATCCCGGGTTCTTCTAGTGGTGCCCGGTAAGTGACTCCGGACTGACGAGCAGAAAAATCCCAGGGCCATCAATAGAGGGCCTTCGGTGTAGAATGCGGTTTGCTCAGCTGTCAGCAAAGAGGGACGCAAAACCTAAATTTGAGATATCAGAAATAACTAAATAAAATAGACCTTGGCTGATTACAACTAATGGTTCTGAAACCTAGCAAAAGGGTCAGATTCTGATCTTGAATATACTCTCGAGAGAACCGTTTCAGTACGGGGGTGTAGCTCAGTGGTAGAGCGCGTGCTTAGCATGCACGAGGCCCCGGGTTCAATCCCCGGCACCTCCATTCCTTTTGCTTTTAATTTTTTTCCCATTGCTTTACTTTATTTTCCTTGCTTAAACAGAAAGTAACCCTATTTCACAACGGTTTTGCCATTAATATTAGTGCTGTTCCATTTCTACTCCTCAGCCTTGACACGACTCGGGGGACTGCCTAAGCAAAAGGTGGAAAAGATGGAGCTGGAAGACAAAGACGGCTCCGGATTCCAAAACTTCAATGGCGTCGCCAAATTGACGAGCTCATTAACCTTTGGAGTATTGTTATTTAAAAAGTAGGAAATAAAAGATAAATGTGGAAATATTTAATAAAAGAAAAACGTAAGCTCTCAATTTTCTTTATTACTTTTTTTTTTTTGAGACGGAGTCTCTCGCTCTGTCGCCCAGTGGCACGATCTTGGCTCACTGCAAGCTCCGCCTCCCGGGTTTACGCCATTCTTCTGCCTCAGCCTCCCGAGTAGCCGGGACTACAGGCGCCCGTCACCACGCCCGGCTAATTTTTTCTATTTTTTTGGTAGAGACAGGGTTTCACCGTGTTAGCCAGGATGGTCGCGATCTCCTGACCTCGTGATCCTCCCGCCTCGGCCTCCCACAGTGCTGGGATTACAGGAGTAAGCCACCACCGCTCCCAGCCGATTTCCTTTATTTTTTTTCTGGTCCTTGTTTAGCCATGATCCATCGCAGGCTGAGCCCTGACAAACGCAAAGCCTTCCAAACTGGGAAATTGAGAAAGTTATTTTCATCAATGAATGTAGAGGCGTCACACTTCTGCCGAAATAGCTCCACTGGGAAGCATGCTCTGCTGAAGATCTCAAAGTTCACGGACTGATTTCCAGTTTTATTCTGTCTTCACTCCTGCCGGATAATTTGACTTCCCTTAGATGACGTTACAGAAGTAATTTTACCTAAGACAGGTGCGCCCTCTATCGTAAGGATATCTTTCAGACTCTTGGTCCACACAAGAGTTGGTGGCACCGGAGAGCTTGTTAGAAGAGCGAAATCTCAGCTTCACCTCAGACGTACTGAACCAGAAGTAGCAATTTAACAAGATCCACAAGAGATTCTTTTGCACATTTAAGAAGCAATATGACGTGCTTTGACGTGGATGGAGTAAGGGTGTATAGTATAAATACGCGGCTGTGTTTTTTCCCCCAATTTTCTATTCTAACAGAAAACATAATTGCAAAAAATATATATTTCTATTGCTGAATCATTTTTGTGTTCTAA
Source organism: Homo sapiens (assembly GCF_000001405.40). Taxonomy (NCBI): domain Eukaryota; kingdom Metazoa; phylum Chordata; class Mammalia; order Primates; family Hominidae; genus Homo; species Homo sapiens. Next base: position 102,811 of record NT_167244.2, on the reverse strand, counting down.
TCATTGACTCTGTTCCTTGCCTCTCTGGCAATATTGTACTTAGTAATATTTTTTGAATCACTATTCATGATTGAATATGATGTGAAGTTTTCATTTTCTTTTTTTTTTTTCTTGAGACGGAGTCTCACTCTGTCGTCCAGGTTGGAGTGCAGTGGCGCGATCTCGACTCACTGCAACCTCCGCCTCCCGGGTTCAAGCGATTCTCCTGCCTCAGCATCCCGAGTAACTGGGACAACAAGCGCGCGCCACCGCGCCCGGCTAATTTTTTATATTTTTTTTAGGGACGGGGTTTCACCATATTGGCCAGGCTGGTCTCGAACTCCTGACCTCATGATCCGCCCGCCTCGCAAAGTGCTGGGATTACAGGCATGAGCCACCACTCCCGGCCTTTATTTTCTTTTTCGCAAGTTTTGCAATAAAGGCTGTGCTAACTTCTAATGTAAACTGGGAAGTTTGTATCCTTGCTCTGAAACATTTTAAATAGAATAAGACCTTGTAATCATTCCAGAATACACAGCCCTCTTCTCATCAGCTACCACCAAATCTTCAAGAACTTTTGTATTAACACCACTTTGTATTCTAAGCCCTGTGATAGATTTTAAAGATCCAAAACCCTTTGCTAACCCTAATGAAAGTGTGAGCTGAAGGATATCTCAAGAATTGGGAAATCCTTGGTTTCCGATATAATATCAGGCCACCTCTGTCCCTGTGAAGTGATTAGGAAATTTTCAATGGAGAAAATAAGTTCCAAAAGTCATTCTTTCTCAGATTAAGATGTCTTGGGTTTCAGTTTACTTCTTTAAAGAAAGATTCAGAGTTAGTACTGAGGACCCAGACTTTCTTGATGTGGGAAATAGATAATTTTCTGTTCTGTTGACATTTTTTCTCTCTCTTCTCTCATTTTCAAAGTACAGTTCCACAATGTCTCTTTGCCACTTATACTCACTGTGGCAGAAAAAAATTATTCACAGGCTTCAATCATGGGAATCAATTTGCAAAGGAATATAGTAAAAGCATGAGGAAAATTATCATGAATTATTACCATTGCTTTATGCTAGGGCTCAGGCCCAAATGGAAATATTTTTTTCTGCTCCCCACAATAGACTTCTTTAAGGAAGTCCACCTCTGTAATTTAGGGTAGAAATGGATAGGATGCAAAAACCAAGAGTTTAATATAAGAAAGCTATAGAAAATATAGGATGGAGATTTCAAAAACATCTTGGGACAATGAAAACAAATGACATATGACAGATAGAAGTACTTCTTTGAGAGCAAACAGTGCCTATCTTTGGCCTAGGACAATAGTGAATCATTTTAAGGTACATTGTAGATGAATTTTGGAAATTCAACTATATTTTATTTTGGGGTTGTATACTTCAATGAGATCATATTTTAAAAAAATTTTTCTCCACAGAGAAATTAAGGACCTCTTTCAAAAATCAGCTGGGCATGGTGGCGACCACCTGTAATCACTGCTACTTGGGAGGCTGAGGCAGGAGAATTGCTTGAACCTCGGAGGCGGAGGTTGCAGTGAGCCAAGATCATGCCACTGCACTCCAGCCTGGGTGACACAATGAGACTCCATCTCAAAAAAAAAAAAAAAAAATTAAGGACTTCTGAGAGGAATGAGGACGTGGCCATGCGTGAGACCCTGGGTGAATGTGTGGGAAGCGGCAGGTGGGCAGGACCATTGGCTGCACAGTGATATGGAAGCAGACACAATCCATCAGGCCATGTAGTCAATCTGACTCAAAAGGTAGAGTTTTATTCTTTTCAAAGACATATTTAATTGAAGAAAAAAGATTATTTAACCCTTTACTGTCTAGTTCAGGAATTCTTTTTTAATATTCAATCAAGGTGGGAGACTTACAACAGTGTAATCAAACCTCCCTCTCCCTGTCAACAAATCAAGATGTAAATCCCAAAGAATATAGAGTGAATTCAATTTCTAGATTATCATATAAGAGCTCCTTACATGAAAACTATTACTCCACCTTTTTGTCAACTTTAAGAAAACAGTACTCAACCAGTTACAATCTTCTCTCTGGTTGTAGATTGTCTAGAGATGTCATTCGCATGTCTGCAGGCTCCCTGAGCAGAGTAATTGAGTATGAATGAGTTCTATCTCCTGAGATAAATGGTTGGTTCATCAGAAAAATCTCATATATTTGGAACTCATCCTATGTCTCCCCATGCATAGATATTTCTGAATGCTTACAGAAACTTAAACAATTCTCACAGTGTTCTCTGTACTTTGGGGCAAACAGAAAAAAAAAAAAAAAGAAACACCTCCTTGTGGGGAACTTCTGGTAATCTAACTGGTATCTTGGTTTCTTCAGGTGCAAGTTAGAGAATAATTACATGATGACTCTGGAAACAACTTTCACACCATCAAACAGTCTAGATAATTTTCTTTCTTTCTTTCTTTCTTTCTTTTTTTTTTTTTTTTTGAGACAGAGTCTTGCTCTGTCGCCCAGGCTGGAGTGCAGTAGCGCGATCTCGGCTCACTGCAAGCACCGCCTCCTGGGTTCACGCCATTCTCCTGCCTCAGCCTCCCGAGTAGCTGGGACTACAGGCGCCCTCCACTACACCTGGCTAATTTTTTGTTTTTTGTTTTTTTTTTTAAGTAGAGACGGGGTTTCACCGTGTTAGCCAGGATGGTCTCGGTCTCCTGACCTCGTGATCCGCCCGCCTCGGCCTCCCAAAGTGTTGGGATTACAGCCATGAGCCACCGCGCCCGGCCAAAACAGCCTAGATAATTTTTCTCACATCCTCCCAGCACTTTCACGCGCGCGCGCGCGCACAAACACACACACACCAGAGCTTGTAGAGTTTTGTGGGTGACACTTAAATACCCAATTTCAGTGAAACCTGCCATTATGTTTCCTCTTACCTATTCCGCTATCCCTATGAGCCAACAGAGAGAAATTCTGCCAAACCATAAGGTGTTCCCAACCTCGAAAGGGGCTCAGCAATATGCTTACCAATATAGGTAAAGTCATACATAAGGAGAATGAGAATGAAGATGAATGAGAAAAGATAACACCTACTGGGAAACTAGCCAGGAAATGAGACTTTCTGGGTCTTTTGTGAAAGTTTCAAGGCCATGGTGACAACCAGTGTGAATTCCAGGGTTGAAGATCAGCTAGGAAGAAGTTCATTTTTTTGCTTTTCACAACTATCAGTAAGTAAGTTTCTGATCTTCATATCTCAAAGGACACTTTGAGTTCTCATTGTACTCACACTGTATTGGTGCCTTCTACTCACTCCCACCTCCACGTATTCAGATCAGAGCACTGGGCTAAGTTCACTGTGTTTCACCAATGGGCAGGATCCTACGGAAGAATATGGTAAGTTCAACACGTTCCCAAACAAACTCACCTCCTCCTCCTAATATCTTGTCCATTCCTTCAAAGAACAATAAGCATCTCTATTCTGCTTTTTTTCCTCCTGTTTGTTGAGGCTCTCTTTTATGGATTCCCCACTTTCTGGCTTGCTCTATAAATCCAATAAGTCTTTGAATCCTGTGTCTAGCTACCTATGAATGTGCTTTCAAAATTTCAAAGTTTTTCTCCATCCTTGAATCTGCTATTTATTTCATGTCTTGAACATTATTCTGGGCTACTCCATGAACCTCCTCAGTTGCCTTCATGCTGTAGTACAATCAAGAACCCCTTGGCAATGAATAACAGGTTGCATGTGGTTTTCATTCTCACCTGGGGTTTTCTCATCAAAGTTTTGCTCTTACCATTCCTGTGAAGCAAACAGCAATAGCAGAAGTGCTTTATTCAGGAAAAAGCTGGTCAGTTTTCTAACGCAAGTTTCCAGTATTCTGCGTTCCATTTCAAGCTTTATTTGCCAAAACTTCAATATCCCCCACAGCTGGGGGTCTTCCAACTTAAAATGGTCACAAATCCTGCTTCTAAACCCAACACTTAGTGCTAAAACAATGAACACAGGAATGGAGACCCACAGAATATAACGAGATATTCCTTTATTTTTCATTTTATTTAATTTTTTACATCTTTAGATTGGAGAAATACCTTTTTAGGGTTTTTGGGTTTTTGTTTGTTTGTTTTTTGAGACAGAGTCTCACTCTGTCCCCAAGGCTGGAGTGCAGTGGCGCCATCTCCGCTCACTGCAGCCTCCACCTCCCAGGTTCAAGAGATTCTCCTGCCTCAACCTCTGAGCAGCTGGGGTTACAGGCACGTGCCATCACGCCCGGCTAATTTTTGTATTTTTAGTAGAGACAGGGTTTCACCTTGTTGGCTCGGCTGGCCTCGAACTTCTGACCTTAAATGATCTGACCGCCTCCAACTTCCAAACTGCTGCGATTACAAGCGTGAGCTACCGTGCCCGGCCACCTTTTTAATTTTTAAGTTATTTTTTATTTCCATATTTTTATTGTTTTCATATACTGCAATAGTACTTGGAGGACGACACAAATATCTCTTGGCATGAGGAGATGTAGTTCAGTGATAGAACGTGTGCCTTACATATAGGAGGCCTCAGGTTCAGCTCCCGAGAACCTTCAACGGTCAGTTTCCGAGTTCTTAATACCACTCCTTAGTACAAAGCACATTCAGGTGTCCTACTCTCTTTTCGTTGCCTGTCACATGAGAAGTAAACACGTGACCCCAAGACGTTAATTTCTGTTTTTTTTTTTTTTTTTTTAGAGATGGAGTCTCACTCAGTCGCCCAGGCTGGAGTGCAGTGGCGTGATCTCGGCTCACTGCAAGCTCCGCCTCCTGGGTTCACACCATTCTCCAGCCTCAGCCTCCTGAGTAGCTGGGACTACAGGCGCCTGCCACTATGCCTGGCTAATTTTTTTTTTTTTTTTTGTATTTTTAGTAGAGACCGGGTTTCACCGTGTTAGCCAGGATGGTCTCGATCTCCTGACCTCGTGATCCGCCTGTCTTGACCTCCCAAAGTGCTGGGATTACAGGCTTGAGCCACCGCGCCCGGCCTCTTTTTTTTTTAAGATTTTTTTTTTTAATCATTATACTTTAAGTTCTAGGGTACCTGTGCACAACGTGCAGGTTTGTTACATATGTATACATGTGCCATGTTGGTGTGCTGCACCCATTAACTCCTCATTTACATTAGGTATTTCTCCTAATGCTATCCCTCCCCTATCACCCCACCCCGCGACAGGCCCCGGTGTGTGATGTTCCCCACCCTGTGTCCAAATGTTCTCATTGTTCAATTCCCACCTATGAGTGAGAACGTGCAGTGTTTGGTTTTCTGTCCTTGTGATAGTTTGTTCAGAATGATGGTTCCCAGCTTCATCCATGTCCCTACAAAGGACATGAACTCATCCTTTTTTATGGCTGCATAGTATTCCATGGTGTATATGTGCCACGTTTGTTAAATTCAGTCTATCATTGATGGACATGTGCCTTACATATAGAAGGCACATTTGGGTTGGTTCCAAGTCTTTGCTATTGTGAATAGTGCCACAATAAACATACGTGTGCATGTGTCTTTATAGCAGCATGATTTATAATCCTTTGGGTATATACCCAGTAATGGGATGGCTGGGTCAAATGGTATTTCTAGTTCTAGATCCTTGAGGAATCGCCACACTGTCTTCCACAATGGTTGAACTAGTTTACAGTCCCACCAACAGTGTAAAAGTGTTCCTATTTCTCCACATCCTCTCCAGCACCTGTTGTTTCCTGACTTTTTAATGATTGCCATCCTAACTGGTGTGAGATGGAATCTCATTGTGGTTTTGATTTGCATTTCTCTGATGGCCAGTGATGATGAGCATTTTTTCATGTGTCCATTGGCTGCATAAATGTCTTCTTTTGAGAAGTGTCTGTTCATATCCTTTGCCCACTTTTTGTTGGGGTTTGATGGGGTTGTTTGATTTTTTCTTGTAAATTTGTTTAAGTTCTTTGTAGATTCTAGATATTAGCCCTTTGTCAGATGGGTAGGTTGCAAAAATTTTCTCCCATTCTGTAGGTTGCCTGTTCGCTCTGATGGTGGTTTCTTTTGCTGTGCAGAAGCTCTTTGGTTTAATTAGATCCCATTTGTCTATTTTGGCTTTTGTTGCCATTGCTTTTGGTGTTTTAGACATGAAGTCCTTGCCCATGCCTATGTCCTGAATGGTATTGCCTAGGTTTTGTTCTAGGGTTTTTATGGTTTTAGGTCTAACATTTAAGTCTTTCATCCATCTTGAATTAATTTTTGTATAAGGTGTAAGGAAGGGATCCAGTTTCAGCTTTCTACATATGGCTAGCCAGTTTTCTCAGCACCATTTATTAAATAGGGAATCCTTTCCCCATTTCTTGTTTTTGTCAGGTTTGTCAAAGATCAAATGGTTGTAGACGTGTGGTATTATTTCTGAGGGCTCTATTCTGTTCCATTGGTCTATATCTCTGTTTTGGTACCAGTACCATGCTGTTTCAGTTACTGTAGCCATATAGTATAGTTTGAAGTCAGGTAGCATGATGCCTCCAGCTTTGTTCTTTTGGCTTAGGATTGTCTTGGCAATGCAGGCTCTTTTTTGGTTCCATATGAACTTTAAAATAGTTTTTCTCCAATTCTGTGAAGAAAGTCATTGGTAGCTTGATGGGGATCGCACCGAATCTTTAAATTACCTTGGGCAGTAGGGCCATTTTCATGATATTGATTCTTCCTATCCATGAGCATGAAATGTTCTTCCATTTGTTTGTGTCCTCATTTATTTTGTTAAGCAGTGGTTTGTAATTCTCCTTGAGGAGGTCCTTCACATCCCTTGTAAGTTGGATTCCCAGGTATTTTATTCTCTTTGTAGCAATTGTGAATGGGAGTTCCCTCATGATTTGGCTCTCTGTCTGTTACTGGTGTATAGGAATGCTTGTGATTTTTGCACATTGATTTTGTATCCTGAGACTTTGCTGAAGTTGCTTATCAGCTTAAGGAGATTTTGGGCTGAGATGATGAGGTTTTCTAAATATACAATCATGTCATCTGCAAACAGGGACAATTTGACTTCCTCTTTTCCTAACTGAATACCCTTTATTTGTTTCTCTTGCCTGATTGCCCTGGCCAGAACTTCCAACACTATGTTGAATAGGAGTGATGAGAGAGGGCATCCCTGTCTTGTGCCAGTTTTCAAAGGGAATGCTTCCAGTTTTTGCCCATTCAATATGATATTGGCTGTGGGTTTTTCATAAATAGCTCTTATTATTTTGAGATACATCACATCAATACCTAGTTTATTGAGAGTTTTTAGCATGAAGGGCTGTTGAATTTTGCCAAGATGTTAATTTCAATATTACGTTATTTAGACTTCATGAGCCTCAAAACCACTCAAGGCAGTTGGCAGAGTAGAATAAGCTTGTCATTGATTAGTTTCCTATGGCTGCTGTAACAAATTATCTCAAATTAGATGGCTTATAACAACAGAAATTTATTCTTTCACACTTCTGGAGGCCAAAAATCTGATATGAGTGCAGTAATGTGCTACATGTTGACATTTTAGTAAACCACAGACCACATATCCTACGGTGGTCTTATAAGATTATAAAGGAGTTGGCTGCGCACAGTGGCTCACGCCTGTAATCCCAACACTTTGGGAGGCCGAGGCGGGCAGATCACCTCAGGTTGGGGGTTTGAGACCATCCTGACCAACATGGTGAAACCCCCATCTCTACTAAAAATACAAAATTAGTCGGGAGTGGTGGCACACACCTGTAATCCCAGGTACTTGGGAGTCTGAGGCAGGAGAATTGCTTGAACCCAGGTGGCAGAGTTTGCAGTGAGCCAAGATCCTCCCATCGCACTCCAGCCTGGGCAACAAGAGCAAAACTCTGTCTCAAAACAAAACAAAATAAACTACCTGCTAAATTCTAATATAAATTGGGGAATTTGTATCTTTGTCTCAGCCTAGCAACATTTAAAATGGAATGGGAACCATTTGAGAAACACATATCGTCCAAATCTTGACATTATTTCAGAACACGGTCTTGCCTCTTCCTCACCTCAACAACCAATCAGCAACAGTGGAATATATATGTGTGTGTGTGTATGTGTGTGTGTATATATATGTATATGTACATATGACAAAAATTATTTCTCTAAACTATTTGATAATGATTTTCAGACATTATATCTTTTTATTCCTAAATACTTCAATGTGTATTTCCTAAGAACAAGGTCAATTTCTTACCACAGCACAATTATCAAATTTAGAGAACTTAACATTGATAAAATAGTATTCTCTAATATACAGTCTATAAAAATTTTAATTGTATCAATAAAATCTTTTATAGGAATTTCTCTCCCAAACTAGGTGCCATTTCAGAATCACATATGAATCTAGTTGTCTTGACTTTTCAGTCTCCTTCACTTTGGAACAGATTCTTAATCTTCTTGTCTTTCATGAATATGTTTTTGAAGAGCATATGCCAGTGGTTTTGTTGAATGTTTCTTAATTTGTGTAGTCATGGTTACATTCAGGTCATGGAAATGTCACAGAAATCATGTTACCCTCTATCACACCAAGAGGCATGTGATGTCAGTTTTTCTCATTATTTATTATTATTATTATTATTTTTTTTGAGATAGAATTTCGCTCTTCTTGCCCAGGCTGGAGTGCAATGGTGTGATCTCGGCTCACCACAGTTTTGTATTTTTAGTAGAGACGGGGTTTCTCCATGTTGGTCAGGCTGGTCTCGAACTCCCAACCTCAGGTGATCCCCCTGCCTCGGCCTCCCAAAGTGCTGGAATTACAGACGTGAGCCACCACGCCCAGCCCAAATGAGGATTTTCTAATTTTATCCTTACTTCCACATTTATCACTTGGCACACAACTGTAAGGAAAATCTTCCCATCTTCCATATTTATGTGTTTAAGTTCCCAAGATTGATAATCACTTATTGTCATCATTAATGCTCAAAATGTGTCAGATTTGGCCATTGAGATCCCTTTCAAGCTGGCTTCTCTGTCCTTTCAAATCATACCCATCAATTCTGAGCACCTACATTCTGGCACAGCAAGATATCTTAGGTTCATCTTGTAGTTTCCCTGGCACAGTCCCGGAGTCAGTGTAGTTGACACCAGTAGCTACTTTCTATCAGTATCGCTGGTTCCTTTTAGTAGGGAGTGGTATTTGAAAATCAATATATAGAATTATCTTTGCTCATTGCATCTGAGGTATCATTTCTTCTAGGCCCAATTAGCAGAGAGATCTGTGGAGAAATTTTACAATTAAGTGTATAATTTCATACTGATGCCTCTAATTCCCATCATCACCAATAGGACTATTCTTTACCTTCCTCCTTTCCCACAGTGAGAGCCTGGTTCCAACAACATACAGGCGCACACATGCTCATTTTTCCAATCCTAAAATTCACACAAAATATCAGAATTGCTATTGCCTTAGCATTACAGAAAATATTCCTGATACATAGAGTTTAAGATATGCTTGCTGTTCTTTTTCTTTTTACAATGAGAACAATGTATAAACCATTTTCTTAGGTCAATTCTTTCCTGAATTTTCAATGTGGTTATGTTATACTTTTGAAATGCTCTATTTGGAAATAGATTTGCTGATCCCAAATCAGGAACAGTGTTTTTCTTTTTACTGTTAACGTACCTTTTCTTGATGTAACCGTGCCTAAGAGAGGGGGCACTTAGATATAGGGAAATCATAAACAGTGGAATTGGAAACACATGGTAATTGTCTTTATGACATAGAGCACATACTCAGATAATGGTGGTCACCAGTTTTCCAAATACACAGGAGGTATGAGGGGGTATAGCTCAGTGGTAGAGAGTGTACTTATCATGCACGAGGTCTTGGGCTGATTCCCCAGTACCTCCAGAGGTCCATTTTCTTCCCTGTGGCACTGTAAGAAGAGCTCCATGACCTTCCCCAGCTGTCCAGAATGTCCTGCCTTGTCAAGATATTTGGGTTGACCTCTACATCTCTCTCTCATACAGAGAGGTAATTCGTGTTCATTCACTTAAGGTTATTTGCTGCTTACGATTATCCACCTATTCTTTCTAAGCAGTCCCAGCAGTCACTAAGGTGAACCACGCACTATGGAAGCAAGTACTACTCCTGGCCCTCCAGCCTATTTCTAGTTGTAAATGAAATAATCAGAAACCATAGAACCACGTGGCGCAAGTCCTTTCCTGCGTGTGGTGTTTGTTTGTTTGTTTGTTTGTTTGTTTGAGACAGAGTTTCACTCTTGTTGCCCAGGCTGGAGTGCAATAGCACAATCTTGGCTCACCACAACCTCTGCCTCCCGGATTCAAGTGATTCTCCTGCCTCAGCCTCCTGAGTAGCTGGGATTACAACCATGCACCACCATGCCTGGCTAATTTTGTATTTTTAGTAGAGATGGGGGTTTCTCCCTGTTGGTCAGGCTAGTCTAGAACTCCCGACCTCAGGTGATCTGCCCACCTCAGACTTCCAAAGTGCTGGGATTACAGGCGTGTGCTACCATGCTTGGCCTTGTATTTCTTCTTCTAACCCAGGTTGCAGAAGCCCTACAAGCTTTCACTAAAAGATTTCACTGCCAGTGGCTGAGGACCTGATGTGCTGGTGGTCACTTTTTCCATTAGAAACCCACAAACTCTAAAACTTAATGTAAACTATTTAACTACAAGAATACAATAAATGGCAAATATAATGACAAATGAGAAAAAGATCACAGTCACTTCAGCTGACATTTGGTAGGGGGAACATATTTCTCTGGGTCCTCTAAGGAAGTTTCTGCCCTGAGATGCAAGCACTCGGAACTCCAGGAACCAAGATCAGTATAGGGTAAAGCTCATTTCTTTGTTTTCCATCAATAAAAATAATGAATGAACTTTTATTCTCCCAATCCCAATGGATCCTTTTCTACCTGCTGCACTTATTCTCCAGGAATAACCTCTTTCTAAGCTACTGAACAACCCACACCTCCAGATTAGAGCTCTTTGCACAGTTTCTGATGCTGGTATCACAGAGCTAAGCAGAATCCACGCGGGGATACTCTGCAAGCATCTCAATACTATCTCGTTAAAAGGAAATCGCCTTCTATTTTCAGCTCTATTTCATTTAAACAAAAGATAAAAAATTAAGTTACTCAACACCCAGAAGGCAGAAAAACGACCTCTCTCTGCATCTGCAGAAGCCAAGCAAGCTAGTGGGGCTTCCGTATGCATCCTTTGTTTTACTCATTTTCCAAACGCTGTAATGGTCCACCACCTACCAGGTGGTCACAAGCCATCGCTAAAGTCAATTTTGAGGTCAACCCACTCAACTTGTGAGGGATTCACCTATATTACCTCTGCACCTGTAATAAGACTAAGAAGACGGTGGCTGCACATGTAGTTAACACCGATTGTACCGCGACTTCGCCTTTCCGCAGCCTTTGTACCAACCTGCAGAGCCCTTTTGAGCCAAGAGCTGGACTTGGGGAGTAAAGAAGCTCATTGTAAACGCCAGGAGGAATTTCTTCAGGGTGAAGTTGACTTCCAATCGGCTTCATTCTAAAGGAAACATGTGGAGCAAACAAACGGGAACTTTCTTTCTCATCTTCTGCATTTCAAGCCTAATAAAATTAGACGTTTCCACTGTCCTGCTCAGTCTCGAAGCTGTCGGCAGATTCCGCTTTTAACTCTCAACACAGACACTCAGGAAATCGGGAAATCCCTGCAGCTCCCTCAGAAGCTATCAGTATCAGCGGTTCCCGAACCCGCAAACAAAAAACGCAACATCACGTGCTCCTCCAAAGAGCCTAGCCTGTCTATCGAGCGATGGAAAGAGCGGCGAGGCGCTCTCGCAGCCGTGGCAGTCTGGACGAAAAGAACCAGGTCCCTTTCCTGGTCTAGCCTACCTCCCTACCTCTCTTCCCTCATATCCAGAAGAAGCGACGGAGAGGTGAGTGCTTAGACTCACTCTAACATCCCGTCCATCCAAATCCTAATAATCTTGAGGATGCTTTTCCTTGTCCTCTACCCCTCTCCCTTTTTATGTTTCTTTCTCCACTTCACCGCACCCCGCCTCTTCCCTCTCTCCGCCAGCTGGCCCTCGGCTCCTCTCCACCTTCCCTCCCGTTTACTTCTGAATGAACTTTTCACAATAGTGCAGTGCACTCCTAGAACCATTTACACACATTCTAAGCACTGTGCTGAGATTTATATGTAGCCACTGTTTTAATTTCCACATCACTTTCCTTTTTTTTTTTTTCCTTCTCTATATGCTCAACTTCAAACGTTTTCTGCAGCATAGGCTGAGGCTGCGTCCAGATGGGGAGAGACGTCAGGCGGCGGGGATAAACCTGGAGGAATGTTGTTTCCTGTCTGGGGAGGTTCGGGCCTTACAAGAGGGAGAGAAAAAAAGAAAAAAGCCTGTAAGAGAATCTAAAATTTTTGAGGAAATTATTCAAAAAATATTTTAATTGACCCTCCCAACAAATTTTGGCTAAAAACAGAAAGCCTGGACTCTCTCGGAATAGGAGACTGAGTTTGAAAACTGTCCAGACATAGGGACGGTTTTATTAAAATTCAATTTGCAAGTCGTTGTTGGCTGTAGCTATTTCCTCATTCCAGAGAGGATTGTTTCTGAAATTCGGTAAACTCTGAAATTGTTTCTAAGTTATTTAACAAGAGGAGTCCAATGTTTTCACACTTTTGAAGTGATATAAGAATTTCTAGGCTGAGGTGGGAGAACGGATTGAGCCTGGAGGCGAAAGTTGCAATGAGAGGAGATTGCCACTGCACTCCAGGCTGGCAGAGTGGGACCCTGTCTCTCTCTCTCTCTCTCTCACTCGCTGGAATCTTCTCTCTCTCTCTCTCTATATATATATATATATAGAGAGAGATACATGTATATTTTATATTATATATAATATCTATATCAACAATATATTTACATTTTTAATTTATATATATTTCATATTTATATGTGTGTGTATATATATATATATATATATATATATATATATATATATATATATATATATAGCGTGGTCACACTAAAATAAACATATGCTTGCCTTTTCCACCCCTGGCTCTCTGTACCACCTAAGGTGGATGTGTTAGCACTAGATCAGTAAAAGGAAGGAAACAGAGAAAAAGAATTGGCTCGCTCAGGATTTCTTCAGTCGGAAGCTATAAACCTACTACCAGGTTAACGTGTTCAATAATCTTCTGTTCCTTTTTGCCATGTCATTGAAGAGCAAGACAGAAAACAAAACAAAAAAGAGCCAAAAGGAGAGAAAAGGAAAAGTCTAGATAATTTCATTTTAGTTTTAGATAGTTTCCTTTAGTTTTCTGAGCGGTGTTTCCAAGGTGACCAAGCATGGGAGCATCTATCTTGCTGATTTGACCTATTCCTCGCCTTTTTTTTTTTTTTTTTTTTTTTAGAGACAGAGTCTCGCTGTCGCCCAGGCTGGAGTGCAGTGGCGCGATCTCGGCTCACTGCAGCCTCGAACTCCCTGGTTCAAGCGATTCTCCTGCCTCAGCCTCCGAAGTAGCTGAAACTACAGGCGTGCGCCACCTCTCCTGGCTAATTTTTATATTTCTTGTAAAGAAGGGATTTCACCATGTTGGCCAGGCTGGTCTTGAACTCCTGACCTCAAGTGATCCACCCTCCACGGCTTCGCAAAATGCTGAGATTACAGGCGTGAGCCACCGTGCCCGGCCGTCTCGTCTTTTCTTTCCCGTCTTTTGCCGGGGAAAATTGGATCCTATTTTCATACATAAATTACAGCAGAATTTATATTTTTGGATTGGGAGGAGGTGAGTGAATGACGGGTGATATTGAAGACAACCGAATTAGGCGTTGGAAGATACACTGACCTTACAAATTGCAGTTTTTATATTTTGAAGAAATGACCAACGGGACAGCTCCAGAGTAGCCGAAATAGCTCAGTTGGGAGAGCGTTAGACCGAAGATCTTAAAGGTCCCTGGTTCAATCCCGGGTTTCGGCAGATACCTTTTGGTTGTTGCATAATTGTCTTTCCTTTATACAACACTTGCACACCAATCCCAGAGGTCTATATATAACTCCCATTTTTTGCTTTTTGAAAATTCCATAAAGGTAATGTATATATATATGTATGTATATTTGTATCACTCTCTCCACTGAAGTCTTCCATGAAGTGTTAACTGATGGTATGTAAATTATTTAAAATCTTAAATCTAGAAAGTTACTAATTTTAAAACCTAAGAAATTCCAATATGCTATAGACTGTGGCAATTACAATTCATTTCTGATTTGATGTTATTTATGTGTGTTGGGCAGGGGTGTTTTAAATCACAAGAACTATGAAGAAACCTGTAGAAGAACTATTATGCTGTATGAGTGTATATATGTGGTAGTGGTATATTCAAGAAACATTTTGCAATTCCAAAAACCTCGGTTTGGCCGGGCGCAGTGGCTCAGGCCTGTAATCCCAGCACTTTGGGAGGCCGAAGCGGGTGGATCACGAGGTCAGGAGATCGAGACCACGGTGAAACCCCCGTCTCTACTAAAAGTACAAAAAAATTAGTGGGGCGCGGTGGCGGGCGCCTGTAGTCTCAGCTACTCAGGAGGCTGAGGCAGGAGAATGGCGTGAACCCGGGAGGCGGAGCTTGCAGTGAGCTGAGATCGCACCACTGCAATCCAGCCTGGGTGACAGAGCGACACTCCGTCTCAAAAAAAAAAAAAGAAAGAAACACCTCGGTTTGTATCTTGAGTCAACTCCATAGCTCTGCAGTTAAACTGCTGGGAAAATAACTTTCTTTTTTTTGAGACGGAGTCTCGCTCTGTCGCCCAGGCTGTAGTGCAGTGGCACGATCTCGGCTTACTGCAAGCGCCGCCTCCCGGGTCCACGCCATTCTCCTGCCTCAGGCTCCCGAGTAGCTGGGACTACAGGCGCCCACCACCACGCCCAGCTAATTTTTTGTATTTTTAGTAGAGACGGGGTTTCACCATGTTAGCTGGGATGGTCTCGATCTACTGACCTCGTGATCCACCCACCTCGGCCTCCCAAAGTGCTGGGATTACAGTGTGAACCACCGCGCCCGGCCCTGTTTTGTTTTTTTGAGGCAGGGTCTCACTCTGTCACCCATGCTGGAGTGCAGTGGTATGATCACAGCTCACTGCAGCCTCAGCCTCCCTGGACTCAAGCGATCCTCCCATGTCAGCCTCCTGGGTAGCTGAGACTACAGAAATGCAACAACAAGCCTGGCTTTCTCTCTCTCTCTTTTGTACTTTTTTTTTGTAGAAACTGGGTTTCACCATGTTCCCCCAGCTGTTCTTGAAATCCTGGGCTCAAGCAACCTGCCCGCTTCTGCCTCCCTACGTGCTGGGATTACAGGTGGGAACCACCGCACCAGTCCTAATTACAGGAATATTTTTAAGTTTCTTACTGACAGGACATTTCTTTAGCCTGGAAACCTTGCCTAGAATTTCCAAATCTTAAGTTATTTCCTCATTGGTATCCAGGAAAGAACAAAAATAAGTCTTTCTTTCTTTTTTCTTTTTTTTTTTTTTTTTGAGACAGAATCTTGCTATGTTACCCATGCTAGAGTGCAGTGGAACGATCTCAGCTCACTGCAACCTCCGCCTCCCCGGCACAAGCAATTCTCCTGCTGCAGCCTCCCAAGCAGCTGGGATTACAGGCGTCCACCACCATGCCTGACTAATTTTTGTATTTTTAGTAAAGACGGGATTTCACCATGTTGGCCAGCCTGGTCTCCAACTCCTGACCTCGTGATCTACCTGCCTCGGCCTCCCAAAGTGCTGGGATTATAGATGTGAGCCACTGCGTCCAGTCAAAAATAAGTATTTCTAAATTAATTATTCTGTCAAGACTCAGGTGGATGTGCCCCATTTTCCTTTTTTTTACTTCAACTCCTCTCTTGAAATTTTGTGTTGGGATAATGGGCCTTTTTTGTCCTGTTTTTTTTTTTTTTTTTTTTTGTCTGATTTTTTTTGGTCATTTTTAATATCTTTTCTTCTTTCAAATTGGTGTTTCATTTTCAGTGTTATTTTCCCCTAACACCTGCATACTGTGTGAGGAGACAATAAACTACAGTACTCCAACATCAGAACTGCATCAAATTGTGAAAGGAAAATTGGTACCAAATGAGAGACCAACCTCAGGGTGGGGACATTGACTGTACAGGAACTAGGAATCAGATACTTTACCCTTTAAGTCACTGAGGCTTTCTCAACTCAGAAGCCTGTGTTTTATTTCATTAAGAAATATTTGATAGGCTGGGCGTGGTGGCTCACGCCTGTAATCTCAGCACTTTGGGAGGCTGAGGCGGGTAGATCACCTGAGATCAGAAGTTTAAGACCTGCCTGGCCAACATGGTGATACCCTGTCACTACTAAAAATACAAAATAATAATAATAACAATAATAATAATAATAATAATAAATTAGCTGGGTGTGGTGGTGGATGCCTGTAATCCCAGCTACTCGAGAGGCTGAGGCAGGAGAATCCCTTGAACCCGGGAAGCGGAGGTTGCAGTGAGCCAAGATCGCAACATTGCACTCCACCCTAGGCAACAAGAGCAAGACTCTGTCTTAAAAAAAGAAAAAAAAAAGGAAACATTTGATTAGACAAATGGCAGGATTGAATGTTTTCTTGCCTAGCACAGTAGTGATTCCTTTACATTTTGTTGAAATGAAACGCCTAGGGTAATTCTAAGCATGATTCGTCTCTCATTCAATACCTTAAAAATGAGGCTAATAATGATTATGTAAAATGGGATGTTGCAAAGGTCTAAGGAGATCATGCATGGAAATGCATTTAGTCAAGTCCACTCGCGGCATGAAACCTAATTACTGGCAGACCATGCTCCATGTCCTTTGGCTCTGGGATTCTCCCAGAACAGCACCTAAATAGATAACATCGTCTCTAGACAATGCTGTCCAATCAAAAGATACTACAAGTCTTCTGCTTTAGCTTCTGGGATAAAAAGAATTTTTAAAAAAGTTAATACAAATCTTAAATGAGAGCCACTTCTGTAGTTTTAAATTTTCTAGTAGTCACATTTAAAAAATAAACAGGCAATACTTATTTTATATAATTTTTTAACAATTTCAACTTTTAGATAGGCAAGGTGGGTCATACCTGTAATCCCAGCCCTTTGGGAGGCCGAGGTGCGCGGAACACCTGAGGTCAGGGGTTCAAGACCAACCTGACCAATATGGTGAAACCCTGTCTCTAATAAAAATACAAAAATTAGCTGGGTGTGGTGGTGCATGCCTGTAATTTCAGCTACTTGGGAGTCTGAGATAGGAGAATCACTTGAAACCTGGAGGAGGAGTTTGCAGTGAGCCCAGATAGCGCCACTGTACTCTAGCCTGAGAGACAGAGCAAGACTCTGTCTCAAAATAATAATACTAATAATAATAATTTCAACTTTTATTTTAGATTCAGGGGGTACATGTCCAGGTTTGTTACATGGGTATAGTGCATGATGCTGGGGTTGGGGTGAGATTAATCCCATCACCTGGGTGGTGAACATAGTATCCAATAGTTAGCTTTTCAAGCCTTTCCCCTTCTCGCCTCCCCCTCTAGTAGTCCCCAGTGTCTATTGTTTCCATCTTTTATGTCCAGTTTTACTAATATATGTAAATCACCTTGCATGTCCAAAATATTATTTTAACAAGTAATCAATCTTAAAATTATCAGTGAGACATTTTATGTTTAAAAAATGATATTACATCTGGCCAGGTGCGGCGGCCCATGCCTGTAATCCCAGCACTTTGGGAGGCCGAGGAGGGCAGATGACAAGGTCAGGAGTTTGGGACCAGCCTGGCCAGCATGGTGAAACCCTGTCTCTACTAAAAAAAAAAAAAAAGAAAAAGAAAAATTGCCAGGCATGGTGGTGCGCGCCTGTAGTCCCAGTTACTCAGGAGGCTGAGGCAGGAGAATGGATTGAACCCAACAGGTGGAGGTTGCTGTGAGCCAAGATTGCACCACTGCACTCCAGGTTAGGTGGCAGAGCGAGACTCCATGAAAAAAAAATTACATCTTTGAAATCTGGTATATATTTCTCACTTTCAACACATCTTAACTTAGACTAGGCAATTTTCAGTACTCAATACCCAATGTGGCTAATGGTAACCATATTGGACAGTGCAGATTTAAACATATACTTTATATATTTTTAGGTTTTCGAAATTGAGTGTGTATGACAGGGTGTTCTGTCTTCAAAATTAAATGTTTAATTTCTCAGAAGAATGCTATGTTAAATGAGCTCATCCTACAGATTTCACACAAAAAACATGTTTCAATCGTGTTGCTGGTAGATAGTCTGAAGATAGCTACAGATATTTAATTATTTAAAATTCTCCCATTTTTATGAGGCAACCTTCTTATTATGAATTCCCAAGAATCCAATAGACAGCCAAGTTTCTCTGGGTGTAACACAACATAAAGATGAAGGAGAGTTTCTGCAAACTGTCCTAATATTGCTTTTACAGCATCAAAGAGCCAAGATAATCCTTCCCATCATTTACATGCACACACACAGACACAGTCAGGCAGGCAAACACACATGAATACACATCAATTTTGTCTATAACAATTCTCTAGTTTCTCCTTCAGTGAAGTCTATCACTCAGTGTTTCCTATTTTTATTCTAGAAATCCCATCAGCCAACTGAAAAGCCAAGTCTGACATACAACTTGCAATTTGGCAATTTTGAAAGCCATCAATGTTACTTTATTAACATTGGCAAAGGCTCTTATATAGGCAAACCAGAATGAGAAAGAGTTAATAGTCACTAGAAATTTGGTGCTGAGAAATAGGTTTTCTTCTCATCTTCTTATGTAATTCAAAGGACACACGATAAGTCCCAAGATTCAAGAACTTTTGAATTCAAGAACAAACAAACTTGTTTGTTCACTACAAATATCACGAATAGGTTTGTAATTTCCATATCTCAAAGTACACTTTTTTAGTCTTTATCCATCCTCCATGTAATGTGTCTACTACTATTAATGCTTACAAATCCCAGGCTAGAGACAGAGTTAATTGCCTGAATTCTCTGAGAAACATCCTCACAAGTGTGCCCCACAGATACTTTAAATTGAGTATGAGCCAAACTAACTCATCTTCTCCATCTTCCAGTCTATCTCTCATTCCTAAAAGAGCTGTTAAAACCTCTCCCCTTTTCTGCACCTGCTGTGTTTGTTTTTCTAAAGCATTCTTCAACCCTGTTTGTATTTATCTTCGGTCTTATTCTCATAATTCAACCCTTCTCTCCATCCCCATAGCTGTTTTTCATTCACGCCTTATGAATCCCTTCCCCTCCCCTCCCCTCTTCTCCCCTCGTCTCCCCTCTTCTCCCCCTTTCCCTCCCCTCCCCTTCCCTTCTCTCTCTGTTGCCCAGGCTGGAGGACAGTGGCACAGTCATAGCTCCCTACAACAACTAACTCCCGAGCTCAAGCGATCCTCGTGCCTCAGCCTCTAGAGTAGCTGGGAGTACAGGCGTAAGACACCACGCCAGCTAAGGACCCTTATGAAAAAATGCTAAGTGCATCGCTGTCAGGTTTTCTTCTGATTGTGGCTTTCCTCCATCAAATCTTATCTTTAATATTCCGATTGAGCAAACAACAATTATGAAGCGTTTTAGGCAGGAAAAGGCTGAATTTCAATGGCTTTGTGTCGTATCTGGGAGAAATTAAAAGAAACGAAAACCTGAACTTGATTCTTGCCAAGCATAATAGAAGGAGACCCTAAGAACTCAACGTCTTGAGGCCACAATGGAAACTTCTTGTGGTTATTATCTGACACTTTTCTAATCTTTCGTTTTTCGTTTCAAGTCCTACACAGTATTCTAAAGAATCTGTATCCCCCATTAGTACCAAGTATCTCCTGCTCAGAACAGCTCTCCGCACTCCATAATACTGACCACTACTACCAGCATGCTCACGGAGTCTCAGGAAATGAAAGTTACCTCCTGAAAATTATTACAAAGAGACCTTATAGTAAGGGGGTGTAGCTCAGTGGTAGAGCGCATGCTTTGCATGTATGAGGCCTCGGGTTCGATCCCCGACACCTCCAAGCGATGGTTTTGCTCTGGTAGTTTTCAAGCGACAGACTTCTGCCTCCTCACGTTTTTCTATCCTATTTCTGCACATATAGACAGTAAAAGTGTAGCCCAATGTTCAGCCTTGAACTATCTCCACTGGTTATGCTGTGAACCTCGACATCACCAAAGGCGATTGCCACAGCAGAAGGGAGACAAACAAGAAATGAGGGGGAAAGAAGAACGGGATCGCAACACGGTCTCTTGAACCCAAACAAAAGCGTGCACATTCACAGGCGGCTCGCTTTCACTCCCATTTTGTACTATGATTAATGAGACGCAAAGACAAAGGAGAAGGGAGAAAAGCGCCCTGAAGGCATCTATTTTTTTTTAAGTTATTTTTGTTTTCTGGGCCAAAGAACAGAGCGAAAGCCTCTGTTCACTGATTTCTCCACCAGTCTCTCCCTGTCTACCTGCGCGGAGAACACAGCTACCAGTGTGATCCAGTACTGAGACAAGGGCTGTGGCTCTCCAGTCGCTTGAGATGGGAGTGGCAGGGCGCTGGATAACCACACGAAGACTGTCGGGGAATTAGAGGCCTTCAACGTGCGAGAAGCAGAAACCAATACGGATCAACATTCCCTACTGATGTTCCATAAGACTGATTTGTATTCCTGTATTTCCTCAGTCACTCCATTTTCCTCTTTACAATAAAATATTGCCTGGGAACTTCTGGTAAGAGCAAACGGAGGCCCCATATGAAAAACTAGGAAAAGGTTTTCTGTCACAATGCAAAATACATGCAGACTAAAAGATAAGTAGATCGCAGGTGTGTTGGGCACTTCCTGCCTTGGGAAAAAACAAACAAACATTTCATGTTCTTTCTCGATCCACCTGATTACATCGCTTTTTTTGGAGAGGGAACTCCCAAGAAATCCTATGCACTCATGAAACCTTTTATGGTTTCCAACGGTGTATGGTTTCAAAACTGCTGTTCTCTCTGTACATATTTCCTATTGAATTAAAGTGTCTTTGAGAGGCAAGAGAGTATGATGTTTGTTCCTAGTCCACCAGCCTATCAGGCTGGCATGATAGATACACTCTATGAGGCTAACATGACCTTACTTGATTCTTTTGTCCAGTGAGAATATCTATAACCAGCATCCAGGAGGGATACTGTCTGATGAAACCTGCTTAGCTGAGGACTGGCTGTGTGTGTGCCTCCAGACCAATCATATGTTTGTTTTGAGACACATTTTTTGGAGGAAGGTAATACACACATGCCATGTATTTTCTTTTTGTTTCATACTTTTTCTTCTTTAATTTCCTGGTATCCATTGGTTCTCTCCAGGCAAACAGTGGCATGTTAGCCACAGTGGACACTGCATAGGAGAGCAAGGGGTGGAGGATTAGGGTGCTGCAATCAGAATAATAAATTTCAGGCCCAACCTTAGGTCTATTGAATCAGAACTGCTGAGTATGGATGGGGCTCAGCCTCCTGTGTTTGAATAAGCCTTCAAGTGACTCTGATGCTAAAGTTTGTGAAGCACTGCTCTAGAAGTTTCAGGAAGTCCCAGGGTCAGGCACCTGCTGAGGAGGAAGAGTTGGTCCTGGGGTTCCCTGCCTATTCTCAATCAAAAACACAAACCTAGGAAAGCCAGTGAGGTTTGTATTCGTCTTATGTCAGGGATGGGGTTGAATTTACCATTTCTTTGACCCTTTGAATATTTATGCAACTTTTCAGGTCACACACAACAGACTGATTTTCCTGTGGAGGAACTCACAGGAATTCTCTTGAACCAGGAGACTCTTTTGAGCTGAAATACCTGGAGCTCTCTCAAGCTATTTGGGCCTTGCAATTTGAAACCCAGGCTTGGACGATTCTAAGCCCTGTGGCAGAGAGTAATCATTTTCTCTCCACCCTCAGGGTGAGGACTCATCCTCAGGGTTGGGAGTGACTGCTGTCTCTCCAGCCCCCACCAAGTCTACCAATGTTCTGGTTGTTAAAATCCAGCATATGCATGAAATGTAATAAAAGTATCTTTGCAGCAGTAAGTAGAGAGTTCCTCGTTGTGAGCAGACCATTCCTCTTCCTCCTTGGAAAAAATTCTGTATCCACTTTCTACATTTTCACGTTTGTCTCTTCCTCTACACACACCTCAGCTGCTGCTTTATTTACACTTGTCTCATGTAAGGATCTTCTTTTATGTGGTAACCTTGGCTTTTCCCACTGTTCTTGCTTCCACGAGTTGGATGCAGGCAATATAGGAGCCGACTGCAAAATGTAGGTGATATTGTCCAGAAAGAAACCCGAATTTCAGAGGCTTGCTGATGTGGAAGAAAGCCAAGATATTAGACTCATAGAGCTTCACTCTGCTAGGTAGGTTGAAATCTGGACACCCTGAATTCCATAAAAACAAGGTAGTACTCCTTCTGAAAACCCTCGTAAGTTTAAAATATACTGGGACTGCCTTACCTTTCTTGTTTTTCATGCCTTGTATTCCAAGCTTGACAAGCTATAACAAAAACAAAAGCAAAGAACACTCTTCCTATCTATAACAAAGGACCCTATGCTTCAGCGGGAGGGTCTCTCTTCCCGGTTAAACACTCTCCCCCTCGCTAACAGTAGGGATTGGAAATAGGCGGCTTCTCTGTCGTTTCCTTGGAAGCCACTAATACCACCCGCCTGTACCAAAACTCAAGGGTACCCGTTCTCCCCAGTGCCCCAGCCAGTAAAGGAGCTGCGAGGCGTTCTCAACGCCGCGACTGCCTTGAGCAAAACGAGGGAGATCTTGCGAGGAAAGTGTTTTCAGCTCACTTCTCCAACAGGGAATGAGCCCTCTCGCTTATCGCGGACAGCGAGGAAAAGCAGCGGAGATGGGCTTCCGGGCTGCACTCCGCCTTCCGGCCCACCCAGATCCTCTGGCAGCCTCGGGCGCTCGCCCACTTCGCTTCTCCTCCGCCTTTGCCGCCGCCGCCGCAGGTGCGCACCCCACCGCGTCCCTGCTTCCCTCTCGAACTCTTTTCGAAGGTGGTCCTCGTTCTCCTCTCCATCCATCGTTTCTTGAGTGTCAGAACTGGAGCCATAGCGTCCCCAAGACGAAATCCATGCTGGGTTTCGCGACCATGGTGCTGGCCCAGGCGCTGGCAGGGTAAGGACGGGCAGCGACCCACGCTCCTGGGTCTTCGTTTCTAAGAGCTGGGAATTCCACTTTCTCACCTCCTCACCTGCACCTAAATCCCCCGAGACGGTACTGACCCTTCTGTTTTAGTATCCATCTACGTTACTCTTGATAGAAGAGTACAGCCCTTGAAGGAAGAGGGAAAAGAAATTTGAGAAGGGAGAATTTAGAAAAACCTTTTTAGTTTGAAATTATTTCAAACCTACAGAAAAGTTGCAAAAATGATACAAAGAACTGCCACACACAAGTTACTCATATTTACCAATTCCCGATATTTTGCCACAATGATTCTCCTCTCTCTTTACGGCTAAACACACACACACACTATTATTTTTCTCATGTACTTTATTATTTATTTATTTATTGAGACAGGTCTTGCCCTGTCGTCCAGGCTGGAGTGCAGTGGTGCGATCTCGGCTCACTGCAACCTCCGCCTCCCGGGTTCATGCGATTCTCCTACCTCTGCTTCCCAAGTAGTTGGGATTAGAGGCATGAGCCACCATGCCAGGCCATTTTTTGTATTTTTAGTAGAGACGGGACTTCACCATGTTGGCCAGGCGGGTCTGGAACTCCTAACCTCTGGTGATCCGCCCGCCTCGGTCTCCCAAAGTGCTGGGTTTACAGGCGTGAGCCACCCCGGAGCTTCTGTGTTCTTTTAAATCATCCCCATCATTCTGGCACAGCAAGATATTTTAGGTTCATCTTGTAGTTTCCCTGGCACAGTCCTGGAGTCAGTGTAGTTGACACTAGTAGCTACTTTCTATTAGTATCTCTGGTTCCTTTTAGTAGAGAATGGTATTTGAAAATCAAAATATAGAGTCATCTTGCTCATTGTTTCTAAGGTATTTCTTCCAGGCTCAGTTAGCAGACAGATCTGTAGGGAAAATGTACTATTTTTATTTTTTGAGACAGAGTCTTAGTCGCCCAGGCTGGAGTGCGGTGGTGCGATCTTGGCTCGCTGCAACGTCCGCCTCCCGAATTCAAGCGATTATCCTGCCTCAGCCTCCCGAATAGCTGGGACTACAGGGGCGGCCACCACACCCGTCAAATTTTTGTATTTTTAGGAGAAACGGCGTTTTGCCATGTTGGCCAGGCTGTTCTCGATTTCTGACCTGAAGCGATCCACACGTCTCAACCTCCCAAAGTGCTGAGACTACAAGCGTGAGCCACCGCGCCCGGCCTATACAATTACATATGTATAATTTCATACTGATGCCTCCAATTCCCATCAACACCAACAGGACTATTCTTTACCTGCTTTCTCTTACAGTGACAGCCTGTTTCCAACAACACACGCGCTCACACACACTCATTTTCCCAATCCTAAAATTCACACAAAATCTCAGAATTCCTGCAGCCTTAGCTCTAAAAAAAAAACCCTCATACATAGAGTTTAAGATTTGTTTCCTCTTCTTTTTGTACTTACAATTAGAACAACGAACTTTGTCAAGCATTTTCTTAAATCAGTTATTTCAATGGGGTTATGTTATTCTTTCACAATGCAGTTTTAATTTGCCTCTATTTGTGTTGAATTTTAGGGTATTTTCACACACACTTGAGTCAGTTTTATTTTTTGACCATGTGAGACTAACACGCTTCCAAGAGTCAAAAGAATACAGAACATTATAATCAGAAAATTTGCAAGAGAATGTTGTATGCCAGGACACACTCAAATGATTGAATGCAAGTATGCTCCAGGAAATCTAACGCGATGGGGAGCCCACCGTGGGGTGAGTTGATCTTGGACTGACCACAAATCAGGAACAGTGCCTTTATTTGTACTATTAAGCTACCTTTCTTTTGGTGTAGCAGGGCCTAAGAGAGGAAACACTTCCTGTAGGAAATTGAGAGTGGAATTGAAAACATAAAGATTATCATGACACAGAGCCCAGACTCAGACAATAATAGTCATCAAAATATTCTCTAAAAGGCAAGTCTTCCAGAGGGGGTATAGCTCAGCGGTAGAGCGCGTGCTTAGCATGCACGAGGTCCTGGGTTCAATCCCCAATACCTCCAGGTTTTGTTTTCTTCCCCGGGCACTAGTGAGAAGCGGTCCATGATATTCCCCAACTTTAAATTTTTCTGTCTGTCAAGGTGAATTGTGTTGGCCTCTGCATTTCTCTCTCATACACAGAGGTGACTCGTGTTTATTCCTTTGAATCTATTTGCTGCTTAGGATTATCCACTTATATTTTCTAAGCAGTCCACCAATCACTAACATGAACCACGCACGAGGGAAGCAAGCAGTATTCCTGGCCATGCAACCAATTTCTAGTTGTAAATGAAATCATCAGAAACCATAGAACTGTGTGGCCCAAGTCTGATTTCAGATCAGAAGCTAAAAAGGCTCACGTCCTTTTCTGTTTCTTCTTCTAACTCCCTCTAACCAGGTTGAGAAGCCCTACAAGCTTTCACTAAAAGATTACACTGCCGGTGGTTGATGATTTGATGTGCTGGTGGTCACTTTTTCCATTAGAGACCCACATAGTTTGAAACTTAAACTATTTAACTACAAACACAAGGCAAATGATGAAAAGATAGCAGTCACCTCAGCTGAAATTTGGTGGAAGTAAAAAGTACTTCTCTGGGTCCTCAAGGAAGTTTCTGGTCTGAGATGCAAATACTCTGAACTCCAGGAAACAAGATCAGTATAGGAGAAAGCTCATTTTGTTGTTTTTCATAAATAAAAGTAATGAACGTTTATTCTCCCAAGCCCAACGGATCCTTTTCTACCTGATTGTACTTACTCTCCAGAAATAACCTCCTTCTAAGCTAGGGAACAACCCATACCTCCAGATTAGAGAGCTCTTTGTAGAGTTTCTGATTCTGGTATTACAGTACTAAGCAGAAATCCACAGGGAAATACTCTGCAAGCATGTTAATACTAACTTGTTAAAAGAAAATCTGCTTTTATTTTCATCTTTATTTCATGCCAACAAAGCAAAAAAAAAAATAAGTTACTAAACACCCAGAAGGCAGAAAAGTGACCTCTATCCATCTGCAGGAGCCAAGCAAGCGTGTGGGCTTCCGTATGCATCCTTTCTTTTACTCACTTTCTAAATGCTGTAACGGTCCACCATCTACCAGGTGGTCACAAGTCATCGCTAAACTCAATCTGAGGTCAGCCCACACGACTTGTGAGTGGTTCACTTATATTGCCTCTGCACCTGTAACAGGACTAAGAAGACGGTGGCTGCACACGTAGTTAACACCGATTGTACCTCGACTTCGCCTTTCTGCAACAGCTGTGACGCTCTGCAGGTCCTGAGCCAAGAGCTGGACGTTAGGAGTAAAGGAGCTCGTTGCAAACGCCAGGAAGAGTTTCTTTAGGGTGAAGTTGGCTTTCGATTGGCTTTATTCTAGGAGATATATATGGAGCAAAGAAACGGTAACTTTTTCTCATCTTTTGCATTTTAAGCAAAAACTAATAAAATTAGATGTTTCCGCCGTCATGCTCAGTCTCTTAGCTGCCGGCAGATCCCGCTTCTAACTCTCAACACGGGCACTTAGGAAGCCAGGCAATCCCTGAAGCTCCCTCAGAAGCTACGGTATCAGCGGTTCCTGAGGCGCAAACCAAAACCCAACATCACTCCAAAGAGCTCAGCCCGTCTGTCGAGCGACGGAAATAGCGGAGAGGCGCTCTTGAAGCCGTGACAGCCTGGGCGAAACGAACCAGGTCTCCTTCCTGGTCCAGCCTACCTCCCTAGGGACACCTCTCTTCCCTCACGGCCAGAGGAAGCGACGGAGAGATGTGGCGCTTAGATTCACTCTACGGTCCCGTCCATCCAAGTCCGAATCATCTTAAGGATGCTTTTCCTTGCCCTCTATCTCTCTCCCATTTGTGTTTTTCTTCCTCCACTTCACGGCACCCCTCCTTTTCCCTCTCTCCGCCAGCTGGCGCTCAGCTCCTCTCCACCTTCCCTCCCATTTACTTCTGAATGAACTTTTCACAATAGTGCAGCGCAGTCCTAGAACCATTTACACACATTTTAAGCACTGTGTTGAGATTTATATGTAGCTGCTGTTTTAATTTCCGCATCACGTTCCATTTTTTTCCTCTCTGTATGTTCAACTTTTAACATTTCTGCAGCATAGGCTGAGGCTGCGCCCAGCTGGGGAGAGACGTGAGGCGGAGGGGATAAACCCAGAGGAATGTTGTTTCCTGTCTGAGAAGGCTCGGACCTTACAAGCGGGAGGACAAGACAAAGACTGAAAGCGAACATAATTTTATAAATTTTATTTATTTAATTTTTAGGAAATCATCTAATCATCCAGAAACAATTTTTTGGGGGGGAAACGAAGTTTCGCTCTTGTTGCCCAGGCTGGAGCGCAGTGGTGCGATCTCGGGTCACTGCAACCTCTGCTTCCCGGGTTCAAGCGATTCTCCTGCCTCAGCCTCCTGAGTAGCTGGGATTATAGGCGCCCGCCACCATGCCTGGCTAATTTATGTGCATTTAGTAGAGACGGGGTTTCACCATGTTGACTAGGCTGGTCTCGAACTTCTGACCTCAGGTGATCCACCCGCCTCTGCCTCCCAAAGTGCTGGGATTACAGGCGTGAGCCACCACTCCTGGCTTCAAGAACAATTTCTTATCGACCCTTCCATCAAATTTTGGCTAAAACTGAAAGCCTTGACTCTTTCAGAATAGGAGACTCAGTTTGAAAACTGTCCAGACATAGAGAGGGTTTTATTAAAATTCAGTTTGCAAGTAATTATTGGCCATAGCAATTCCCTCATTCCAGAGAGAACTGTTTCTGAAATTCTGTAAACGTCTTAAATTGTTCTTAAGTTATTTATCAAGAGGAGTCCAATGTCTTGACACTTTTGAATTGATATAAAACTTCTAGGCTGAGGTGGAAGAACTGATTGAGCCAGGAGGTGAAAGTTGCAGTGAGAGGAGATTGCCACTGCACTCCAGTCTGGCAGAGTGGGACACTGTCAAAATAAAAATAAATAAATACAATCTCATGATTACAGATGTGTATGTAAAAAGCAATTTTTTTTTTTTTTTTTGAGATGGAGTCTTGCTCTGTCACCCAGGCTGGAGTGTAGTGGTGTGATCTCGGCTCACTGCAACCTCTGCCTCCTGGGTTCAAGAGATTCTGTAGCTGGGACTACAGGGGCGCGCCTCGACGCGGGGCTAATTTTTGTGTTTTCAGTAGAGACAACATGGGGTTTCACTATGTTGGACAGGCTGGTCTCCAACTCCTGACCTCAGGCGATCTGCTCGCCTTGGCCTCCCAAAGTGCTGGGATTACAGGCGTGAGCCACTGCACCCAGCTGGAAAAAAAAAAACAATTCTTATGCATCAATGTGCAGACCACAATTCTCTGAACTCCAAGGAATAGGCCGGGAACGGTGGCTCAAGCCTGTAATCCTAGCACTTTGGGAGGCCGAGGCGAGACCAGACTGATCAACATGGTGAAACTTCGTCTCTACTAATAATACAAAAAAATTAGCTGGGCGTGGTGGGGCGCGCCTGTAATCCCACCTACTGGAAGAGACTGAGTCAGGAGAATCGCTTGAACCTGAAAGACGGAGGTTGCACTAAGTCCAGATCGTGCCACTGCACTCCAGCCTGGGAGACAGAGCGGGACTCCATCTCAAAACAAAGAAACAAAGAAACAAACAAACAAACATATTATACTTTCCATTTTCACTCCCTGGGTCTCCGTACCACCCAAGGTGGATGTGTGAGCACAAGACTGGTAAAAGGAAGAAAATAGAAAAAAAGAACTACCTCGCTCAGGATGTCTTTTTTCGGAAGCTATAAGCCCACTACCGTGTTAAAGTGTCCACTAATCTTCTGTTCCTTTATGACATGCCATTGAAGAGCAAGCCAGAAAAAGAAAATCCGAAAAAAGAGAAAAGGAAATGCCTACATAATTTCATTTTGAATTCCTTAGTTTTCTGAGCAGTGTTTTATACGGTGACCAAGCATGGGAGTATCTTCCTCATTTGACCTATTCCTCGCCTTTTCTTTCCCATCTTTTGCTGGGGAAAATTGGATCCTATTTCACACATAAATTGCAGCAGAACTTATATTTCTTGGGTGGAGGGGAGGTGAGTGAATGACGGGTGATATTGAAGACAACAGAATTAGGCGTTGGAAGATACACTGACCCTACAAATGGCAGTTTCTGTATTTTGAAGAAATGACAAAAGCAGTAGGATCACGGTGGCCGAGATAGCTCAGTTGGGAGAGCGTTAGACTGAAGATCTAAAGGTCCCTGGTTCAATCCCGGGTTTCGGCAGTTGCATTTTGGTTTTAGCATAATTGTCACTCCTTCAACACAGCGCTTGCGCACCAATCCCAGAGGTCTATATATAACTCCAGGTGTTTGTGGTTTTTTTGTTTCTTTTTTCTTTTTTCTTTTTTTTGGCTGTTTTCTGAAAATTCCATAAAGGTAATGTATACACACACACACACACACACACACACACACACACATCTATATATATATATTTACACACAAACACATATATATATATATATTTGTAACACTCTCTCCACTGAAGACTTCCATGAAGTGTTAACTGACAGGACGTAAATTATTTAAAGTCTTAAACCTAGCAAGTTATTACTTTTAAAACCTAAGAAATTCCAATATGCTATATGCTGTGGCACTTACAATTCATTTCTGATCTGATGTTATTTATGTGTGTTGGGCGGGGGTGTTTTTAAATCACAAGAAATGTGAAGAAACCTGTAGAAGAAGAACTATTATACTGTATGAGTGTATATATGTGGTGGTGGTATATTCAAGAAACATTTTGCAATTAGAAAAAACCGGGTTTGTACCTTGAGTCAACTCCATAGCTCCGCAGTTAAACTGCTGGAAAAATAACTTTTGCTTTGTTTTGTTTTTCTGAGGCAGGGTCTCACTCTGTCACCCATGCTGGAATGCAGTGGTATGATCACAGCTCACTGCAGCCTCAGCCTCCCTGGACTCAAGCGATCCTCCTATGTCAACCTCCTGAGTAGCTGAGACTACAGAAATGCAACAACAAGCCTGGCTTTTTGTTTGTTTGTTTGTTTTTTGGTTTTGTTTTTTTTTTAATTTTTTTGGTAGAGACTGGGTTTCACCATGTTGCCCTGGCTCTTCTGGAAATCCTGGCTCACCTCTGCCTCTCACCATGCTGGGATTACAGGCTTGAGCCACCACACCAGGCCTAATTACAGGAATATTCTAAGTTTTCTTACTGACAGGAAGCCTGGCACCCTTGTCCAGAATTTCCAAATCTTAACTAATTTCTGTGTTGGAATCCAGGAAAGAACAAAAACAAGTACTTGTATATGAATTATTCTGTCAGACATTCATGAGGGGCCTTAGAATACTGAAAATGAAAGCAAATGGGCAGCAAAGTCATCAAGATTCAGGTGCATGTGCCTCATTTTCCCTTTTCCACTTCAACTTCTCTGTTGAAATACTGTGTTGGGGGTAATGGGTCTTTTTTTTCCCTCCTTTTTTCTTTCAAATTGCTGTTTCATTTTGAGAGTTATTTTCCCCTAACTCCTGCATACTGTGTGAGGAGACTAAACAATCTACAGTACTTCAACATCAGAACTGCAGCAAGTTGAAAAAGGAAAATTAGTACCAAATGAGAAGAAACCTCAGGGTGAGGACACTGACTCTACAGAAACTGTAAATCAGATACTTTATCCTTTAGGTCACTGAGGCTTTCTCAACTCAGAAGCTTGTGTTTCATTTCATTAAGAAATATTTGATTAGTCAAATGGTAGCACTGAATGTTTTCTTGCCTAACACGGTAATGATTCCTTTACATTCTGTTGAAAGGGAAGGTCTAGGGTAATTCCAAGCATGATTTGTCTTCTATTCAATAGCTTAAAAATGTAGCTAATAATAATTATGTTAAATTGGATGTTGTAAAGATCTAAGGAGATTATGCATAGAAATGCATTCTGTCGAGAACACTCAAGGCATGAAACTTAATTACTGGGAGACCATGCTCCATGTTCTCTGGCTCTGGGAATCTCCCAGAACAGCATTTAAAGAGATAACATCATCTCTAGACAATGCTGTCCAATTAAAAGATAATACAAGTCTTCTACTTTATCTTCCGGAATAAAAATAATTAAAAAAACACAAGTCATAAATGCGAGTCACTTTTGTAGTTCTAAATTTTCTAGTAGTCACATTAAAAAAAACAGGCAATATTTATTCTATATCTTTTTTTTTTTTTTTTTTTTTTTTTTTTGTAGATGGAGTTTCGCTCTTGTTGCCCAGGCTGGAGTGCAATGGCGCGATCTCGGCTCACCGCAACCTCTGCCTCCAGGGTTCAAGCGATTCTCCTGCCGCCTCAGCTTCCCGAGTAGCTGGGATTACAGGCACGCGCCACCACCCCAGCTAATTTTTTTTTTGTGTGTGTGACGGAGTCTCGCTCTGTCGCCCAGGCTGGAGTGCAGTGGCGCGCGCTGCAAGCTCCGCCTCCCGGGTTCACGCCATTCTCCTGCCTCAGCCTCCCGAGTAGCTGGGACTACAGGCGCCTGCCACCACGCCTGGCTAATTTTTTGTATTTTTTAGTAGAATTGGGGTTTCACCGTGTTAACCAGGATGGTCTCGATCTCCTGACCCCGTGATACGCCCGCCTCGGCCTCCCAAAGTGCTGGGATTACATGCGTGAGACCCCGCGCCCGGCCCCAATTTTGTACTTTTAGTAGATACGAGGTTTCTCCATGTTGGTCAGGCTGGTCTTGAACTCCCGATCTCAGGTGATCCGCCCACCTCGGTCTCCCAAAGTGCTGGTATTACAGGCGTGAGCCACCGAGCCCGGTCTCTATATTATTTTAAAAATAATTTCAACTTTTATGTTAGATTCAGGGGGTACATGTGCAGGATTCTTACATGGGTATATTGCATGATGCTGGGGTTGGGGTGGGATTAATCCTGTCACCCGGGTAGTGAGCATAGTATCCAATAGTTAGCTTTTCAAGCCTTTCCCCTTCCCAGCTACTCCCTAGTAGTCCCCGATGTTTACTGTTTCCGTCTTTTATGTCCAGTTTTAATAATATACGTAAATGGCCTTGTATAACAACATTATTTTAAGTAATCCATCTTAAAATTATAAGTGAGTTATTTTATATTAAAAATGATATTGCATCTTTGAAATCTGGTATATATTTTATACTTACAACACATCTTACCTTGGACTGGGCAATTTCAAGCATTCAATAGCCAATGTGGCTAATGGTAACCATATTGGAAAGTGCAGATTTAAACAGGTACTTTATATATTTTTAGGTTTTCAGAACTGAGTATGTATGACGTGAGGGTGTTCTGTCTTCAAAATTAAATGTTTAATTCCTCAGAAGAATGCTGTGATAAATAAGCTCATCCTACACATTATACGCAAAAAAAAAAGTGTTTCAATCATGTTGTTGGTAGATAGCCTGAAGATAGATATGGATATTTAATTATTTTAAATTCCCCCCTTTCATGTGGCAAACAAAAAAGCATATCTTCTTATTATGAATTCCCAAGAATCTGATAGACAGCCAGGTTTCTCTGGCTGTGACATGACATAAGGATGAAGGAGTGTTTCTGCAAACTGTCCTAATATTGCTTTTACAGCATCAAAGAGTCAAGATAATCCTCCCAAGCATTTACATGCACACACAAACAGACACAGACAGGCAGACACGCACACACATGAATACATATGAATTTTGTGTGTAACGCTTCTCTAGTCTCTCATTCAGTGAAACCTATTACTCAGTTTCCTATTTTTATTCTAGAAATCCCGTCAGCCAACTGAAAAGCCAAGTCTGCCATACAACTTGCAATCTGCCAATTTTAAAATGGATCAATGTTATTTTATTAACATTGGCAAAGGCTCATATATGGGCAAACCAGAATGAGAAAGAGTTAATCGTCACCAGAAATTTGGTTCCGAGAAATGGGTTTTCTTCTCATCTTCTTATATAGTTCAAAGAATCCAGTCTCACCGTGATAAGTCCCAAGATTCGAGAACTAGTTAGAAGAAAACTTGTTTGTTGCCTACAAATATCACGAATAGGTTTGTAATTTCCATATCTCAAAGTACACTTTTTAGTCTTTATCCACCTCCATGTAATGTGTCTACTACTACTAATGCTTACAAACCCCAGGCTGGAGACGGAGTTAATTGCCTGAGTTCTCTGTGTAATATCCTCACAGGCGTGCCCCACAGATATTTTAAATTTAGCATGAGCCAAACTAACTCATCTTCTCCATCTTTCAATCTTTCTCCCATTCCTGAAAGAGTTGTTAAAACCTCCCCTTTTCTGTGCCTGCTTGTCTTTGGCAATAGCATGTTTGTTTTTCTGAACTACTCTTCAATCCTGTTTCTATTTATCTTTCGTCTTACTCTCATAATTCAACCCTCATCTCCACCCCCAAAGCTGGTTTTCATTTATGCCTTATGAATTCCCTCCCCTCACCTCCCGTCTTCTTCTCTCTCTCTCTCCTTTCCTTCCTTCCCTTCCTCCCTCTTTCTCCTTCCTTCCTTCCTTTCTCCCTTCCTTCCCCCCTTCCTTCCCTCTTTCCCTCCCTCCGTCCCTCACTCCCACTTTCTCTTGCTTGCTTGCTTGCTTGCTTTTCTCACTCCATTGTCCGGGCTCGAGGGTAGTGGTGCAATCATAGCTCCCTACAATCGCTAACTCCCAAGTTCAAGCGATCCTCGTGCCTCAGCCTCTGGAGTTGTGAGTACAGGAGTAAGACACCACGCCAGCTAAGGACCCCTGTGAAAAAATGTTGAGTGCACCGCTCTCAGGTTTTCTTCTGATCATGGCTTTCCTCTATCAAATCTTACCTTTGATATTCCGACTGAGCAAACAACAATTATGAAGCGTTTTAGGCAGGAAAAGGCTGAATTTCAATGGCTTTGTGTTATATCTGGAAGAAATCAAAAGAAACGAAAATCAGAACTTGATTCTTGCCAAGCATAATAGAAGCAGACCCTAAGAACTCAACGTCTTCAGGCCACAAAGGAAACTTCTTGTGGTTATTATCTGACACTTTTCTAATCTTTCGTTTTTCGTTTCAAGTCCTACACAGTATTCTAAAGAATCTGTATCCCCCATTAGTACCAAGTATCTCCTGCTCAGAGTAGCTCTCCACGCTCTATGGTACTGACCACTATTACCAGCATGCTCACGGAGTCTCAGAAAATGAAAGTTACCTCCTGAAAATTATTACAAATGGGTGTTATAGTAAGGGGGTGTAGCTCAGTGGTAGAGCGCATGCTTTGCATGTATGAGGCCTCGGTTCGATCCCCGACACCTCCAAGTGATGGTTTCCCTCTGGCAGTTCTCAAGCGACAGACCTCTGCCTCCTCACATTTTTCTATTCTATTTCTGCACATATAGTAAGTAAAAATGTACTCCAATGCATTGCCTTGAACTATCTCCAACCTCTATGCTGTGAGCCTCAACATCACATAAGGCGATTGCGACAGCAGAAGGAAGACAAAAAAGTAACGAGGGGGAAAGAACAGGATCGCAACAGTGGTCTCCTGACCCAAACAAAAGCATGAACATTCACAGGCGGCTTGCGTTCGCTCCCATTTTGTTTTGTTTTGTTTTGTTTTTGTTTGTTTGTTTTGTTTTTTGAGACGGAGTTTTGCTCTCGTTGCCCAGGCTAGAGTGCAGTCGCACCACCTCGGCTCACTGCAACCTCCGCCTTCCGGTTTCAAGAGATTCTCCTGCCTCAGCCTCCCAAGTAGCTGGGATTACAGGCGCCCGCCACCACGCCCAGCTAATTTTTTTGTATTTTTAGTAGAGACGGGGTTTCACCATGTTAGTCAGGCTGGTCTTGAACTGCCGACCTCGTGAGCCACCCGCCTCGGCCTCCCAAAGTGCTGGGATTACAGGCGTGAGCCACCGCGCCCGGCCTTCCATTTTGTACTATGATTAAAGAGACGCAAAGACCAAGAAGAGAGAAAAATGCCAGTGGGCATCTTTTTTTTTTTAAGTTATTTTTGTTTTCTGGGCCAAAGAACAGAGCGAAAGCATCTGTCCACTCATTTCTACACCAGTCTCTCCCTGTCAACCTACATAGGGACATAAGTGCGATCCAATACTGAGACAAGGACTGCTGTGGCTCTCTAGCCACTTGAGATAGGAGTGGCAGGACGCTGGACGGCCAAACGAAGACTGTCCGGGAATTAGAGGCCTTCAACATGCAAGAAGCAAAAACTAATACGGATCAACATTCCCTACTGATATTCCATAAGACTGATTCATATTCATATTCCTGCATTTCCTCAGTCACTGTAATATTGCCTGGGAACTTCTGGTAACAGCAAACAGAGGCCCATAAGAAAAAACCAGGGAAAGGTTTTCTGTCACAATGGAAAATACATGCAGAGTAAAAGGTAAGTAGATCGCAATTGTGTGGGCGCTTTCTGCCTTGGAAAAAACCAAACAAACATTTCATGTTCTTTCTCGATCCATCTGATTACAACTGCTTTTTTTGAAAAGGGAACTCCCAAGAAATTCTATGCACTCATGGTACCTGTTAAAGGTTTCCAATGGTATACAGTTTCAAAACTGCTGTTCTCTCTGTACATATTTATTTATTTATTGTTGAATTAAAGTGTCTTTGAGAGACAAGAAACTACAATGTTTATTCCCAGTCCACCAGCCTAACACTCTATCAGGCTGGCATGTCTTTACTTCTTGATTCTTTTGTCCAGTGAAAGTATCTATAACTAGCATCCAGGAGGGATACGGTCTAGTGAAACCTGCTTAGCTGAGGACTGGCTGTGTGTGTGCCCCCAGGCCAATCACATGTTTGTTTTGAGATACATTTTTTGGAGGAAGGTAATACCCACGTGTCATGTATTTTCTTTGTGTTTCATACTTTTTCTTTTTTAATTTCCTGGCATCTATTGGTTCTCTCCAGGCAAACAGCGGCATGTCAGCCACAGCGGACACTGCACAGGAGAGCAAGGGGTGGGGAATTAGGGTGCTGCAAGCAGAATGCTAAATTCCAGGCCTAACCTCAGATCTATTGAATCAGAACTGCTGAGCATGGGGCTCAGCCTCTTGTGTTTGAATAAGCCCTCAAGTGACTCTGATGCTAAAGTTTGAGAAGCACTGTTCTAGAAGTTTAAGAAGGAGGTCCCAGGATCAGGTGGCTGCTGAGGGGGAAGATTTTTTCCTGGGGTTCCTTGCCTATTCTCAATCAAAAACTTAAACCACGTAGGACAGCCAGTGGGGTTTGTAGTTGCATTATGTCAGGGGTGGGGTTGGATTTACCATTTCTTTTTTGTTTGTTTTTGTTTTGTTTTGTTCTGTTTTTGTGAGAGGGAGTCTTGCTCTGTCACCCAGGCTGAAGTGCAGTGGTGCAATCTTGGCTCACTGCAACCTCCGCCTATTGAGTTCAAGCGATTCTCCTGCCTCAGTCTCCTGAGTAGCTGGGATCACAGGCGCCTGCCACCATGCCCAGCTAATTTTTGTTTTTTAGTAGAGACGGGGTTTTGACATATTGGTCAGGCTGGTCTCAAACTCCTGACCTCAAGTGATCTACCCACCTCGGCCTCCCAAAGTGCTGGGATTACAGGCGTGGGCCACCATTCCCAGCCTCCTTCATCCTTTTGATGTCAGCTGAGTCTACAGTGATGTCCTCTTTTTATTCCTGATGTTGGTAAACTGTGTCATCTCTCTGCTGAAAATTTCTATCTTGCTAGAGTTCTTCTTTTATTGATCCTTGAAAGGAACTAGCTTTTTGTTTGTTTTTCTATTTTTGTGTGTGTGTGTGTGCGTGTGTTCCATTTCACTGATTTCTGCTTTTATTTTTTATTATTTCCTTTCTTCTATTTGCTTTGGGTTATTTTGCTCTTTTTCCCACCTGATTTCTACAAGTAAGAGCTTAGAGGACTGATTTGGGACTTTTTTCTTTTCTAATGTATGCACTTAGTGCTGTATATTTCTCTCTCAGCACTCCTTTAGGATATCTTGGAATTTTTAATATATTGTATTTTCATTTTTATTCATGCTACCTTATTTTTTGATATCTACTAAGGTTTTCTCTTTGTTGTATGAACTGTTTAGTAGTGTGTTGTTCATTTTCCAAGCGTTTGGACATTTTTCTGTCTTTTTGTGACTGATTTTTACTTTAATTTCATTTTGGTCAGGGATTATACCATATTAGTTAATTCTTTTAAATTTGTTGAGGTTTGTTTTATGGCCCAGGATATGTTTTACCTTTACCTATATTCAGTGTGGATTTGACTAGTGTGTTCTGCTCTTCCTGTGTGGACTGTTTTATAAATGTTAACTGAATTCTGGTGGCTGAAGATGTTTGAGTTCTTCAACACTCTTTTTTTTTTTTGAAGCAGAGTCTTGCTCTGTTGCCCAGGCTGGAGTGCAGTGGCGCGATCTCGGCTCACTGCAAGCTCAGCCTCCCGGGTTCACGCCATTCTCCTGCCTCAGCCTCCAGAGTAGCTGGGACTACAGGCACCCGCCACCACGCCCGGCTAATTTTTTTGTATTTTTTAGTAGAGATGGGGTTTCACCGTGTTAGCCAGGGTGGTCTTGATCTCCTGACCTCATGATTCGCCCGCCTCGGCCTCCCAAAGTGCTGGGATTACAGGTGTGAGCCACCACGCCCGGCCTAGTTCTTCAACATTCTTGCTGATTTTCTGTTTAGTTGTTCTATCAATCATTATGAGAGAAGTTTTGAAGTCTCCAAAGTAATTGTGGATTTGTCTATTTTTTTTTAAAGTTCTGTTTTTTTATCTTTACATATGTTGCAGCTCTCCTGTTTGGTGGATACATATTTAGGATTGTTATGTCTTCTATTTCTTTCCCTGCCTCCCTCTCTTCTTTCTTTTTCTTCTTTATTTAACCAAGAAAGAACAAATTTACTATTACTTTCCCTACCAAAGCAGTCTCTCATCACCTCCTGACTCTGAGAATTAAATTCTGTTTCCTTCAGATGTCCTTAGTTGATTGACTCCCAAACAGGGAGTGTGAACAGGAAAATAGAATAAAACACCTGTTAGATTTGAATACAAATTGAGAAATTTGTATCTTTGTTTCTGCCTGGAAACATTTAAAATGGAATGGGAACCACATGAGAAGCACATATTGTCCACATCTTGGGATCATTTCAGACCATCTTGCCTCTTCAACCAAACAATCAGCAACAATGGAATATATATATATATATACTCCATATATATATATATATACTCCATATATATATATATACTCCATATATATATACATATATACTCCATATATATATATACTCCATATATATATACATATATACTCCATATATATATATACTCCATATATATATATATACTCCATATATATATATATACTCCATATATATATATATACTCCATATATATATATATACTCCATATATATATATATACTCCATATATATATATACTCCATATATATATATACTCCATATATATATATATATATATATACTCCATATATATATATATATATATATATATATACACTCCATATATATATATGGAGAGAGACACAGAGAGAGATCTCAAAGATTATTTCTCTAAACTATTTGATGATTTTCAGACATTATATCTTTTTAATCCCTAAATTCATCAATGTGTATTTCTTAAAACAAGATCAGTTCCTTAACACAGCACAATTATCAAATTCAGTAAACTTAACATTGATAAAATAGCATTATCTAATATACAATCTATAAAAATTTAACTAATTGTATCAATACAATCTTTTATAGAAATTTCTCTCCCAAGCTAGGATCCATTTCACAGACACATATGAATCTAATTGTCTTGACTCTTTAGTCTCCTTTAATTTAGAACAGTTGCTCAATTGTGTCTTTCACAACTTTGATAATGTTTTTGAAGAGTATATGCCAGTGGTTTGTGGAATATTTCTTAATTTGTCCTACTCATGGTAAGATTAAGTTTATGGAAATTGGAAGAAATGTCACAAAAAATCATATTATCCTCTATCACACCAAGAAGCATGTGATGCCAATTTTCCCCATTATTAGTGAAGTTAGCTTTCATCATTTGGTTAAGTTTGTAACTACTATTTCTTCCCTGCAAAAGTATCATCTTCCTCATTGTAATCAATAAGTAAGCTCTAGAGAAATACTCTGAGACTATATAAATATCCTGATCCTCATCAAAATTTTACCTATACTTTTAGCATTGACTTATAATTTTGCCTGCACCTATCAGCATTCTGATGGTGTCCAGATTTTCTAATTTTCTAATGGGGATTTGCAAATTTTATCCTTCTTTCCACATTTATTAGCTGGCATACCACTGTAAAGAAAATCTTCCCATCTTCCATATTTATTTATTTATTTGAGACAGAGTCTCGCTTTGTCGCCCAGGCTGTAGTGCAGTGGCATGAGTCCTGGAGTCAGTGTAGTTGACACTAGTAGCTACTTTCTATTAGTATCTCTGGTGCCTTTTAGTAGGGAATGGTATTTGTGAATCAAAATATTGTTATCTTTGCTTATTGTTTCTGAGGTATTTCTTCCAGGCCCAGTTAGCAGACAGATCTGCAGGGAAATTTTACTTTTTTTTTTTTTTGAGACAAAGTCTAAGTCACCCAGGCCAGAGTGCGGTGGCAGGATCTTGGCTCACTGCAACGTCTGCCTCCTGAGTTCAAGCGATTCTCCTGCCTCAGACTTCCGAGTAGCTGGGACTACAGGCACGCACAACCACATCCGGCTAATTTTTGTATTTTTAGTAGAGACGGGGGTTTCACCATGTTGGCCAGGCTGTTCTCGAACTCCTGACCTCAAGTGAGCTGCCCGTCTTGGCCTGCCAAAGTGTTGAGATTACAAACGTGAGCCACTGCGCCCAGCCTATAAAATTACATATGTATAATTTCATACTGACGCCTCCAATTCTCATCAACACCAACAGGACTATTCTTTACCTTCTTTCTCTTACAGTGACAGCCTGGTTCCAACACACCCGGTCACACACACTCATTTTCCCAATCCTAAAATTCACACAAAATCTCAGAATTCTTACAGCCCTAGCTCTACAAAAATAACCCTGATACAGAGTTCAAGATTTGTTTGCAATTCTTTTTAATCTTACAATTAGAACAACAAACTGTATAAACCATTTTCATAGATCAGTTCTTTCCTTTTCAAGTAGGAGTATGTTATTGTTTCACAATGCAATTTTACACTTGATCTTAGCCAAAAGGCCGAGAAGCGATAGACAACGCCATTTGAATTTGCCTCTATTCGTATTGAATTTTAAGGTATTTTCACACGCACTTGAGTCAGTTTTATTTTTTGACTATGTGAAACACCAACATGCTTCCAAGAGTCAAAAGAATACAGAAAGTTATAATCAGAAAATTTGCAAGAGAATGTTGTATACCGGGACACACTCAAATGATAGAATGCAAGTATGCTCCAGGAAGTCTAACGTGATGGAGAGTCCACCTTGGGGTGAGTTGATCTTGGGTTGACCACAAATCAGGAACAGTGCCTTTATTTTTACCACTAAGCTACTTTCCTTTCTTTTCTCTTTCTTTCTTTCTCTTTATTTCTCTCTTTCTTTCTTTGTTTCTGTCTCTCTCTCTCTCTCTCTCTCTCTTTCTTCTTTCTTTCTTTTTTTGAGACGGAGTCTCGCTCTGTCGCTCAAGCTGGAGTGCAGTGGCCCGATCTCGGCTCACTGCAACCTCTGCCTCCCGGGTTCAAGCAATTCTCTACTTCAGAGTAGCTGGGATTACAGGCGCCTGTCACCACGCCCGGCTAATTTTTCTATTTTTAGTAGAGACAGGGTTTCACTATCTTGCCCAGGCTGGTCTTGAACTCCTGACCTCGTGATCCACCCGCCTCAGCCTCCCAAAGTGCTGGGATTACAGGCATAAGCCACTGCACCCGGCTAAGCTACTCTTCTTTTGGCCCAGCCGTGCCTAAAAGAGGAAGCGCTTCATGTAGGGAATTAACAATGGAATTGGAAACATATAGTGATTATCCTGACACAGAGGGCAGGCTCACATATTGGCCGTCACCAAAGCGTTTTCCGAAGGCCCTGAGTCCAGAGGGGGTATAGCTCAGTGGTAGAGCGCGTGCTTAGCATGCACGAGGTCCTGGGTTCGATCCCCAGTACCTCCAGGCCGTGTTTTCTTCCCCGGGACACCAGTAAGAAGCGGTCCATGATATTCCCCAACTTTAAATTTTTCTGTCTGTCAAGGTGAATTGTGTTGGCCTCTGCATTTCTCTCTCATACAGAGGGTGATGCGTGTTCATTCACTTGAGGTTATTTGCTGCCTAGGATTATCCGCCTATTCTTTCTAAGCAGTCCCATCAATCATTAACATGGACCACGCACGGGGGAAGCAAGTAGTATTCCTGGCCATCCAGCCAATTTCTAGCTGTAAATGAAATCATCAGAAACCATAGACCTGTGTGGCCCAAGTCTGATTTCAGATCAGAAGCTAAAAGGCTCAAGTCTTTTTCTGTTTCTTTTTCTAACTCCTCCTAACCAGGTTGCAGAAGCCCTACAAGCTTTCACTAAAAGATTACACTGCCAGGGGTTGATGGTTTGATGTGTGGTGGTAACCTTTTCCATTGGAGACCCACAAACTCTGAAACTTAAACTACTTAACTACAAACACACAACAAATGACGAAAAGACAGCATTCACCTCAGCTGAAATTTGGTGGAAGTAAAAAGCACTTCTCTGGGTCCTCTGAGGAAGCTTCTGGTCTGAGATGCAAACACTCTGAACTCCAGGGACCAAGATCAGTATAGGAGAAAGCTCATTTTGCTGTTTTACATAAATAAAAGTAATGAACGTTTATTTTTCCAATCCCAAAGGATCCTTTTGTACCTCACAGTACTTACTCTCCAGGATTGACCTCCTTCTAAGCTAGGGAACAACCCATACCTCCAGATTAGAGCTCTTTGTGGTATCACAGTGCCAAGCAGAAATCCACAGAGAAATACTCTGCAAGCATCTTAATACTATCTTGTTAAAAGAAAATCTGCTTTTATTTTCAGCTCTATTTCATGCCAACAAAGGAAATAAAAAATAAGTTACTAAACATCCAGAAGGCAGAAAAGCGACCTCTCTCCATCTGCAGAAGCCAAGCAAACTTGTGGGCTTCCCTATGCATCCTTTCTTTTACTCACTTTCTAAACGCTGTAACGGCCACTATCTATCAGGTGGTCACAAGCCATCGCTAAAGTCAATCTGAGGTCAACCCACTCGACTTGTGAGGGATTCAGCTATACTGCCTCTGCGCCTCTAATAGGACTAAGGAGGCGGTGGTTGCACAAGTAGTTAACACCGATTGTACCGTGACTCCGCCTTTCCGCAGCCGCTCTCCAGCTCTTTAGAGTCCTTTTGAGTCAAGCTGGACGTGAGACATACAGGAGATCGTTGCAAACGCCAGGAGGAGTTTCTTCAGGGTGAAGTTAACTTTCAATCGGCTTCATTCTAAGAGAAATATGTGGAGCAAACAAACGGAAACTTTCTTTCTCATCTTTTGCATTTCAAGCAAAAACTAATAAAATTAGATGTTTCCACCGTCATGCTCAGTTTCGAAGCTGCCAGCAGATCCCGCTTCTAACTTTTAACACAGGCACGCAGGAAATCGGGAAATCCCTGCAGCTCCCTCAGAAGCTACAGTATCAGCGGTTCCTGAAGGGCAAACCAAAACCCAGTATCACTCTCTCCTCCAAAGAGTTCAGCCGGTCTGCTGAGCGACGGAAATAGCGGAGAGGCGCTCTTGAAGCCGAAACGAACCAGGTCCCCTTCCTGGTCGAGTCTTCCTCCCTAAGGACAAAAAAAGTACCTTTCTTCCCTCATATCCAGAGGAAGCGACGGAGGGATGTGGCGCTTAGACTCACTGTACCATCCCGTCCATCCAAGTCCTAATAATCATGAGGATGCGACAGAGCGAGACTCCGTCTCAACAAAACAAAACAAAACAACCCTAAGGAAGAGAGAGAATGTACTGGAGGATAGGAAGTACTTAGGAAAACCTTTTTTTTTCTTGTATTTAAATTTAAGCCTTCATTTATATAAAATAAAACACATGAAACCTATTCAGCTTACGGCTTATTATATATAACCAAAATTCAGGCCAAGATACTGAATTTTTCAGCAACCAACAGCTGCCTTTTGCCTCATTTCAATTATCCTAACTCTCTGACCTCCACCTCCATAGATTATTTTTCTTATGTTTTAAATAATATAAATGGGATCATATAATATCATCGTAGTCTATTTTGGGCTGCTACAAAATCACTCAAGACTGGTAATTTGTAACGAACAGAACCCTTCCCTTCCCTTCCCTTCCCTTCCCTTCACTTCCTGACAGAGTTTCACTCTTGTTGCCCAGGTTGGAGTGCAGTGGCTCAGTCTTGGCTCACTGCAACCTCTGCCTCCCGGATTCAAGCAATTCTCCTGTCTCAGCTTCCTGGGTAGCTGGGATTACAGGCGAATGCTACCACGCCCAGCTAATTTTTCTGTATTTTTAGTAGAGATGGGGTTTCACCATGTTTGCCAGGCTGGTCTCGAACTCCTGACCTCAGGTGATCCATCCACCTTGGCCTCCCAAAACCCTGGGATTACAGGAGACAGCCACTGCACCAGGCCCAGAAACATTTTCTCACAGTTCTGGAGGCTGGGAAGTTCAAGATCAAGTCACTGGCTCTCATGTCTGGTGATGGCCTTTTTGTTGTGTTCTCACATGGCAGAAAACTGAAGGCAATAGAGAGATGAACTTCCTTTGTCAACTCTTATTATAAGGGTACCTAATATTATTCATGAGGAAGGAACCCTCATGGCTTAATCTTCTTAAAGGCCCTATGTCTTGATAATTATCACATGGTGACACCTAAGCTTTGGAGGGGACACTTTCAAACCACAGCAAATCTGTACTCATTTGAGTATGGATTCTTTCACTTAATTTTTGTTAAAAAAATTAGATTCATTTTCTTTTCTTTTTTCTTCTTTTTTTTTTTTTCAAGGTGGAGACTTGCTCTGTCGCCCAGGCTGGAGTGCAGTGGCGCGATCTTGGCTTACTGCAAGCTCTGCCTACCAGGTTCACGCCATTCTCCTGCCTCAGCCTCCCGAGTAGCTGGGACTACAGGTGCCATCCACCACGCCCAGCTAATTTTTTGTATTTTTAGTAGAGACAGGGTTTCACTGTTTTAGCCAGGATGGTCTCGATCTCCTGACTTCGTGATCTGCCCGCCTCAGCTTTCCAAAGTGCTGGGATTACAGGCGTGAGCCTCCGTGCCCAGCCTTCATTTTCTATATATTGTTGCTAGTAACAGTAGTTATTTTCTGTTGCTCTCGAGTATTCTATTGTCTGAATACTGTACATCATGATTTATTAATTCATTTTACTGTCCAAGTACATTTGCAGCACCCCTCGTTTTTGGTTGAAATGTCTAATGCTGCTGTAAACATTCTGATACATGTCCTTCAAGGGAGATGCTCATGCACTTCTCTTGGGTATAAATGTAACCGTCTAGTTTTGGGGTCATAGCATATATATATATATATATA
Organism: Homo sapiens; assembly: GCF_000001405.40. Lineage (NCBI taxonomy): Eukaryota > Metazoa > Chordata > Mammalia > Primates > Hominidae > Homo > Homo sapiens. Next base: position 58,137 of record NT_167244.2, on the reverse strand, counting down.
TATATATATATATATATATATATATATTTAGTTGATATTTTCAGATAGTTTCCCAGTGTAGATATAGCAGTTTACAGTCTCATCAGCCATGTATGCACGTTCCAATTGCTTCACATACTCAGCAACACTTGATATTATCCACTTTTTGGGTTAAATGATTCCAATGAAGAGCAATATTATTTTGTGTTTTTTTTTTCGACAGTGTCTTGCTGTGCTGCCCAGGCTGGAGTGCAGCGGCACAATCTTGGCTCACTGTAGCCTTTGCCTCCCAGGATCAAGAGATTCTCATGCCTCAGCCTCCTGAGTAGTTGGGACTACAGGGGCATGTGGCCGTCTAAATTTTTGTATTTGTAGTAGAGACCGGGTTTCGCCATGTTGGCCAGCTGGTCTTGAACTCCTAACCTCAAGTGATCCACCCGCCTCGACCTCCCAAACTGCTGGGAGTATAGGCGTGAGCCACTGTGTCCAGCATTGTTGTGTTTTTAATTTGCATTTCCTTTATAGCAAAAGATGTCGAGCATATTTTATTTTACTCAATAGCGATTTTTTGTGAAGTTCATATTAATTTGCTCTTTCTTATTGAAGTTTTAGTCTTTTTCTTAGTGCTTTGTAGAAGTTCTTAACATATTCCAGATAAAGATCCTTAGTAAAATATAAGTATTGGAATATCTTCTCCTAGACTGTGGCTCATCATCTTTTCTTAAGGAGGATGGGGCTTGAAAAACTTTGTAAGCAGATGAAAGAGAAGAAATGGAGACAGACAGGTTGAAGACCCCAGAGGAAGTTCCATCTGGACATCTTACCTGTTGGCTGTGGGAGAAAATGCCCCCAGGCAGTTTGCTGGAGAGGAAACCTCAGAATAAACTGATGGGATGAAATGTTCCAAAAGCAGAAACTGTGTTCTGGTCTGTGATTCTCTTACATTTCTCCTAGCAGCTTCAGGGGATATAGTTTAGAGGTAAGAAATAGTGAGATATGAGACAGTGGATTTTCTATCCGGCCAACTTACCATATTTTTGAAGACCTCTCAGAAATATGACTAATGCGTCAAAAAAGATCTTCACGATGTTTCTGTAGCGAGAGAGGTGTGGCTCAGTGGTAGTGTGTCCTTGCCTTGCACAGAGTTCAAAAGCATACATGTTCATCTGTTTTTCACAATTCTCGCCACTCTGTACTTTTCTCCTTTTAAAAACATGCCTTGCGTGGTCACACTAAAATAAACATATTATACTTTCCATTTCCACTCCCTGGGTCTCTGTACCACCCAAGGTGGATGTGTCAGCACAAGACGAGTGAAAGGAAGGGAATAGCGAAAATGAATTTTCTCGCTCAGGATTTCCTTAGTCAGAAGCTATAAACCTGCCACCACATTAACGTGCCCAATAATCCTCTGTTCCTTTTTGCCATATCGTTGAAGAGCAAGACAGAAAAACAAGAGCCCAGAGAAAAGGAAAAGCCTAGAAAATTTTCTTTTGAATTCCCTTGGTATTCTGAGCAGTGACCATGTAGGGGAGCATGTTCTTACTTTGCTCTATTCTTCATTTTTGCCTTTTCTTTCCCTGGCTTTTGCTAACCCATTCATTGTCCTTAAAATTGGGTCCTGTTTTCAGACATAAATTGGGGAAGAATCTATATTTTGGGGGTGAAGGGGTGAGTGAATGACAGGTGATATTGAAGACAACAGAATTGGAAGATATACTGACCCTACAAATGAGTTTTTATATTTTGAAGAAACACCTAAAACAACAAATTCGGGAAGCCGAAATAGCTCAGTTGGGAGAGCGTTAGACTGAAGATCTAAAGGTCCCTGGTTCGATCCCGGGTTTCGGCAGGGTTTTTTTTTTTTCTTTCTTTCTTTCAGTTTTGCCTAATAGAACCCTTATTTTGTTTATTTATTTATTTTTTGACGGAGTTTCACTCTTGTTGCCCAGGCTGAGTGCAATGGAGCGAACTCGGCTCACCGCAACCTCCGCCTCCTGAGTTCAAGCGATTCTCCTGCCTCAGCCTCCCGAGTAGCTGGGATTACAGGCATGCGCCACCACGCCTGGCTAATTTTGTATTTTTAGTAGAGACGGAGTTTCTCCATGTTGGTCAGGCTGGTCTCGAACTCCCGACCTCAGGTGATCGGCCCGCCTCGGCCTCCCAAAGTGCTGGGATTACAGGCGTAAGACACAGCGCTCGGCTGATACAACCCTTATACAACACTTGCATGCCAATCCCAGAAAGGTGTATAGAACTCCAATTTTTTGCTGTTGAAAATCCGATAAAGGTAATACACACACACACACACACACACACACACACGCATATATATATATATGCATCACTCTCTGCTTTGGTTGCATATTCCAGTGAAGTCTTCCATGAAGCGCTGACATTAAATAAATTATTTACAGTCTGAAACCTAGGAAGTGATTTTTTTTTTTTTTGAGATTGAGTTTCGCTCCGATGCCCAGGCTGGAGTGCAGTGGCGCGATGTCGGCTCAGTGCAATCTCCGCCTCCCGGGTTCAAGGATTCTCCTGGCTCAGCCTCCCCAGTAGCTGGGATTACAGGCGCCTTCCATTTCAAGTCGTATACTGTATTCTAAATAATTTGTATCCCCCGTTAGTACCTAGTATCTTCTACTCACAGCAGCTGCAGACGCTCCACAATACTCAGAAAAAGAAAGTTACCTCCTGGAAATTATTACAAGAAGGATTTTTTTCAGGAAGGGGGTGTAGCTCAGTGGTAGAGCGCATGCTTTGCATGTATGAGGTCCCGGGTTCGATCCCCGGCACCTCCAAACGGTGACTTTTTGCTCTGGTAGTGCTCAAACCTAATTCTCAAGCAACATAGACTTACTTCTGCCTCCGCACCTTTTTCTGTCCTATTTCTGCACATATAGAGAGTAAAGACGTAACCCAATGGGTTGCCTCCATTTATAACCCATTTCTATGCCGTGAGCTTCGACATCACTGAAGGCGATTGTGACGGCAGAAGGAAGGTGAAAAAGAAATGAGGAAGAAAGAAGAATGGGATCCCAACAGGGTCTCTTGAACCCAAACAAAAGTGTGCACATCCACGGGAGGTTCACATTTGCTCTCATTTTGTGCTATGATTAAAGAGAAGGAAAGACAAAGAAGAAGGGAGAAAAGCGCCCCGCGGCCATTCTTTTTTTTTTTTTTTTTTTTTTTTTGGAGACAGAGTCTCGCTCTGTAGCCCAGGCTGGAGTGCAGTGGCTTAATCTTGGCTCATTACAACCGCTGCCTCCCGGGTTCAAGCGATTCTTCTGCCTCGGCAGGTGGGTTTACAGGTGCGTGCCATCAGGCCCGGGTAATTTTTGTATTTTTAGTAGAGACGGGGTTTCACCATGTTGGCCACACTGGTCTCGAACCCCAGACCTCAGGTGATCCACCCGCCACAGTTTCCCAAAGTGCTGGGATTACAGGCGTGAGCCACCGCTCCCAGCATCATCTTTTTTGTTTGTTTGTTTTTTGTTTTTTTTTACTTTAGTTTTGTTTTCTGGGCCAAAGAACAGAGCGAAAGCATCTGTCCACTGATTTCTCCTCCAGTCTCTCCCTGTCAACCTGCGCAGAAAGCACAGCCACAAGTGTAATCCAATACTGAGACAAGGACTGCTGTGGCTCTCCAGCCGCTTGAGATGGGAGTGGAAGGACGCTGGATGACCGAACAAAGACTGTCAGGGAATAAGAGACCTTCAACATGAGAGGAGCAGAAACCAATACGGATCAACATTCCCTACTGATACAATTGATTCATTTTCCTGTATTTCCTCAGCCATTCCATTTTCCTTGTTAAAATAAAACATTGCCTGGAAACCTCTGTTAACAGCCAACGGAGGACTCATGTGAAAAAGTAGGAAAAGTTTTTCTGTCACAATGGAAAATAGACGCAAAGTAAAAGGTGAGTGGATCGCAGGTGTGTTGAGCACTTCCTCAGGTAAAAACAAAAGAAAACAAATTTTTTTTGTTCTTTCTCTGTCAATCCCATCACAATTGCATTGCATGACCAGGGAACTCCCAGGAAATCCTATTCACTGATGATACCTTTTAGGGGTTTCCAATGTTGTATGTTTCAAAATTGCTGTCCTCTGTACATGTTTGCTGTTGAATCAAAGCATCTTTGAGAGGCAACAGAGTATGATGTTTGTCACCATCCACCAGTCTAACACTCTATCAGGCTGGGATGTCCTCACTTCTTGATTCTTTTATCCGGTGAAAATATCCATAACCAGTATCCAGGAGGGATACTGTCTGGTGAAACCTGCTTAGCTGAGGATTGGCTGTGTGCCCCCAGGCCAATCATATGTTTGTTTCAAGATGCATTTTTTGGAGACAGGTAACGAAGAGATGCCATATATTTTCTTTTCATTTCTTAATATTTCCCCCCTACTATCTACTGGTTCTCTCCAGGCACTTTAAGGAAATAGTGTCATGTTTGCCACAAAGGATGCTGCACAGGAGAGCAAGGCATGAGGGATTAGGGTGCTACTAGTGGAATGTCAAATTCCAGGCCCAACCTCAGATCTACAGAATCAGAATTGATGAGAGTGGGACCCAGCCACCTGTGTTGAATAAGCCCTCAAGTGACTCTGATGCTAAAGTTTGAGAAGCACTGCTCTAGAAGTTTCAGAAGGAGTTCAGGGCCAGATGCTTGCTAAGGAGAAAGAGTTGCTCCCGGGGTTCCCTGCCTATTTTCAATAAAAAACTCAAACCACGTAGGAAAGCCAGTGACGTATTTGCATTACATCAGGATGAGAGTGGATTTATTACCTCTTTGAGACCTTCAATATTTTAGATGACTAGAGATCACACACAAGAGCCTCTGATTTTCCTGTAGAAGAACTCACAGGGGTTCTTTAGAGCCAGGAGACTCTTTCCAGCCAAAATACCTGGAGCCATCTCAAGCTATTTTGGCCTTTCAATTTGAAACCTAAGGCCTTTCCTTAGAGCTTGGAAGTTTCTAAGCTCTGAGGAAGACACTGTAATCATTCTTGCTCCACCCTCAGGGTTGGAATTCACCCTGCTCTCTGTCAAGCCCCCACCAATTCTGCCAATATTCTGGTCTAAGATCCAGTTGTTAAAAACCCAGTCTATGTGGCTGGGGGCGGTGGCTCATGCTTGTAATCCCAGCACTTTGGGAGGCCAAGTCGGGTGAATCACGAGGTCAAGAGATCGAGACATTCCTGGCCAACATGGTGAAACCCGTCTCTACCAAAAATACAAAAATTAGCTGGGCATGGTGGCCGGGGAGGCTGAGGCAGGAGAATAAAAAATTAGCTGGGCATGATGGCCATGCCTGTAGTCCCAGCTACGGGGAGGCTGAGGCAGGAGAATCCCTTGAACCTGGGAAGCGGAGATTGCAGTGAGCCGAGATGGCACCACTGCACTCAAGCTTGGTGACACAACGAGACTCCATCAAAAACAAAAAACAAAAACAAACAAAAAAAGCAATCTAATGCATAAAATGTAATTAAAATATCTTCGCAGCATTAAGTAGAGAGTTCCTTGTGGTTAGGAGACTCTTCCTCCTTGGAAGATGTTCTCTGTCTGTCTACCTTCTGCGTTTTCACATTTGTCTCTTCCTCTCCACACCTAAGCCAGTGCTTTATTTCCACTTATCTCGTGTAGGGATATACTTTTGTGTGGTGACCTTGGTTTTGCCCACTCTTCTTGCTTCCAAGAGTTGGATGTAGGCAATGTAGGAGCCCACTGCCAAAGTGTGGGTGATATTCTCCAGAAAGAAACCTAAATTTCAGAGGCTTGCTGATATGGAAGAAAGCCTAGGATATTCGACTCATAGAGCTTCGCACTGCTAGGCAGGTTGAAATCTGGACACCCTGAATTCCTTAGGAACAAGGTATAAGTACTTCTGAAAACCAATTTAAGTTTAAAATATACTGAGACTCCCTGATCTTTCTTGTATTTCATGACATATTCCAAGCTCAAGAAGCTAAACACACACACACACACTCAAATACCAAAACAGAACACACTCTCCTACCTATAACAAAGGGGCTTAAGCAGGAGGGTCTAGAGAGACCTGGTTCAACACTCTCCCCCTGACGAACAGTAGGGATTGGAAATAGGCGGCTTCTCTGTCCTTTCCTCGGAAGCCACCAATACCACCCGCCTGTACCAAAACTCAAGGGTACCCCTGCTCCCCAGTACCCCAGCCAGTAAAGGAGCTGCGAGGCGTTCTCAACGCCGCGACTACCTTGAGTAAAACGAGGGAGATCTTGCGGGGAAAGTGTTTTCAGCTCACTTCTCCTACAGGGAATGAGCCCTCTCACCTATCGTGGACACCGAGGAAACGCAGCAGAGATGGGCACCCAGGCTGCCCAGATCCTCTGGCAGCCTCGGGTGCTCGTCCACTTCGCTCCTCCTCCGCCTTTGCTGCCGCAGCCGCAGGTGCGCACCCCACCGCGTCCCTGCTTCCCTCCTCGAGCTCTTGTGGTCGAGCTCAGGTGGTCCTTGTTCTCCTCTCCATCCATCGTTACTTGAGTCTCAAAACTGGAGCCACAACGTCCCCAAGATGAAATCCATGCTGGGTTTCAGCCACGGTGCCGGCCCAGGGGCTGGCGAGGGTAAGGACAGGCAGCGACCCACTTCCTGGGTCTTCATTTCTAAGAGCTGGGAATTCCACCTTCTCACCTCCTCACCTGGACCTAAATCCCCCAGGCGGTACTGACCATTCTGTTTTTTTATCCACCTACGCTACTCTTCGTGTGACAGCCCTTGAAGGCAGAAGGAAAAGAAGATGTAAGAAGGGAGAATTTAAAAAACACTTTAAAAATTAATTAATCTGAATACTCAAAGTATCCCCAGGTCATGTATCCTTTTAAGATATGCCTACATTGGCATAGGCGGTGGCTCATGCCTGCAATCCCAGCACTTTGAGAGGCCGGGGCAGGCGGATCACCTGAGGCCAGGAGTTGGAAACCAGCCTGGCCAACATGGTGAAACCCCATCTCTACTAAAAATACAAAAATTAGCCGGGCGTGCTGGCACGTGCCTGTAATCCTAGCTACCTGGGAGGCTGAGGCAGGAGAATCGCTTGAACCTGGAAGGTGGAGGTTGCAGTGAGCCCAGATTGCACTACTGCATTCCAGCCTGGGCAACACAGCAAGACTCCTTCTGGGGGAGGGGGTGGAGGGCGGGGGCGACGAATTATACAGTGAAACTTTCTTGAACCTGAAGAGTCTGTTTTTTTTTTAAAGTTTTTATATCACAAATTTAATTTCCTTAGTAGTTACAAGGTTATAGAAAAATATATTTCATATTGAGTGAGTTGTGATAGTTTGTGATTTTCAAGGAATTAGTCCATCTCATCTAAGTTTTCAAATTTGTGTGTAAAGTGTTGTTCATAGTATTCATTTACCCTTTTGATGTCAGCAGAGTCTATAGTGATATACTCTTCTTTTTATTCTTGATATTGGCAATTTGTGTCATCTCTCTTCTTAAAAAATTATCAGTCCTCCTAGAGGTCTTCTTTTATTGATCTTTTAAAGGAACTAGCTTTTTGTTTGTTTTTCTATTTTGTGCGTGTGTGTTCAGTTCCGTTTATTTCTGCTCATTTCCTTTCTTCTATTTGCTTTGGGTTATTTTCCCCCACCTGAGTTCTTCAAGTAAGAGCTTAAAGGACTGATTTGAGACTTTTTTCTTTTCTTTCTTTTTTTTTTTTTTTTTTTTTTTTTTTTTTTTTTTTTTTTGGCCGGGCTGGTCTCCAACTCCTGACCTTGTAATCCACGCGCCTCGGCCTCCCAAAGTGCTGGGATTACAGGCGTGAGCCACGCGCCTGGCCGACTTTTTTCTTTTCTAATGTATGCACTTAGTGCTGTAAATTTCTCTCTCAGAGATTAAGTTGTCTTGGAAATTTTGATACATTGTGTTTTCATTTTTATTCAGGTTAATTTATTTTTTTGATCTCTACTAAGGCTTTCTCTTTGTCCTATGGAATATTTAGTAGTGTGTTGTTCATTTTCCAAGTGTTTGGATATTTTTGTTGTCTTTCTGTGACTGATTTTTAGTTTGATTTCATTGTGGTTAGGGATCATACTATGTCAGTCAATTCTTTTAAATTTGTTGAGGCCCAAGGTATGAGGTATGTTCTATCTTGATCTACGTTACGTATGAATTTGAAATGAATGCGTGTTCTGCTTTTCTTGTGTGGACTGTTCTATACATGGTGACTGAATTCTGTTGCCTGAAGATGATTTGGGGTTCTTCAATATCCTTGCAGATTTTCTGTGTAGTTTTTCTGTTATTATGAGAGAAATGGCGCGGGCGTGGTGGCTCACGTCTGTAATCCCAGCATTTTGGGAGGCCGAGGCGGGTGGATCACCAGGTCAGGAGATGGACACCACCCTGCCTAACATGGTGAAACGCCGTCTCTACTAAAAATACAAAAAATTAGCCGGGCGTGGTGGCGGGCGCCTGTAGTCCCAGCTACGCAGAGGCTGAGGCAGGAGAATGGCGTGAACCCGGGAGGCGGAGCTTGCAGTGAGCCAAGATTGCGCTACTGCACTCCAGACTGGGCGACAGAGCGTGTGAGGAGACGATTGAAAAACCCAAAAAGAAGAAAAAGCAAAAGCCCCAGGAGATTCATCAGGAGAATGGAATGGAAGACCCATCTATCTCTTTCTCCAAACCCAAGAAAAAGAAATCTTTTTCCAAGGAGGAGTTGATGAGTAGCGATCTTGAAGAGACCGCTGGCAGCACCAGTCTTCCCAAGAGGAAGAAGTCTTCACCCAAGGAGGAAACAGTTAATGACACCGAAGAGTCAGGCCACAGAAGTGGCTCCAAGAAAACGAGGAAATTCTCCAAAGAGGAGCTGGTCAGCAGTGGGCCTGAAGAGGCGGCTGGCAAGAGCAGCTCCAAGAAGAAGAAAAAGTTCCATAAAGCATCCCAGGAAGATTAGAATGCAAATGGACATTCTCTGGGAGGTGGGGCATACCATAGCCCAAGGCGACATTTCCCACCCTGTGCCGTCTTCCCCAATAAGAACAAATTCACAAAAAAGAGAGAGAGAGAAGTGAAGTCTCTAATGTAACTGCATTTGTCGATTTTTTTAATTCTATCTTTTTTGTTTTTTAAAATATTTATTTATGTATTACATTTATTTATTTATTTATTTATGAGTCAGAGTCTCGCTCTGTCACCCAGGCTGGAGTGTAGTGGCACCATCTCGGCTCACTGCAACCTCCACCTCCCGGGTTCAAGCAATTCTCGAGCCTCAGCCTCCCTAGTAGCTGGGACTGCAGGTGCACGCCACTGCACCACCATGCCCGGCTAATGTATGTATTTTTAGTAGAGACGGGTTTCACCATGTTGGCCAGGCTACTTTCCAACTCCTGGCCTCAGGTGATCCGCCCACCTCGGCCTCCCAAAGTGCTGGGATTACAGGCGTGAGCCACTGCGCCCTGTCTGGGTGTTTTGTTTTGTTTTGTTTTGAGACAGAGCCTTACTTTGTTGCCCAGGCTGGAGTGCAGTGGCACGATCTTGGCTCACTGCAACCTCCGCCTCCCAGGTTCAAGCAATTCTCCTGCTTCAGCCTCCCGAGTAGCTGGGACTACAGGGCGCACGACCACGCCCAGCTTTTTTTTTTTTTTTTTTTTTTTTTTTTAGTAGAGATGGGGTTTCACCATGTTGGTCAGGATGGTCTCAATCTCCTGACTTTGTGATCCGCCCGCCTCGGCCTTCCAAAGTGCTGGGATTACAGTCGTGAGCCAGCGCGCCCGGTCCTGTTTTTTTTTTTTTTTTTTTTTTTTACATGTTGCAGCTCTGCTGTTTGGTGTATACATATTTAGGATTGTTATGCCTTCTTGGTGGATTTTCTTTGTTCTTAAGTTTATATTAATATAGTCACTTTTGCTTTCTTTTGATTAACTTTTGCATGTAATATATTTTATCCCCTTAATTTCAGCCTGCTTATATAATTATATTTGAAATGAGTTTCTTTTAGATAGTGTATAGTTGGATTATGTTTTCTAATCTGTTCTGTCAATCTCTCCCTCCCTCCATTCCTTTCTTCCTTTTGCCCTCTCTCCTTCCTTTCTTTCTCTCTCGCTCCTTCCTTCTTTCTTCCTTCCTTTCTTTTCTTTCTTCCTTTATTTTCTTTCTATTTTTAATAGACGGGATCTTGTTTTGATGACCAGACTAGAGTGCAGTGGCTATTCACCAGGGCAATCGTAGAGCACTGGGGCTTCCAACTCCTGACCTCAAGCTGTTTTCCTGCCTCCTCTTCAGCCTCCTGAGTAGGTGTAGCTGGGACTATAGATGCAGGCCACCACGCCTGGCTCATGGTTTGTTTTTGTTTTTTTGTTTTTTTTCTCATCCTTCTTTTAAAGTCGCTAAATAAAAATCATACCTGGATGTCTGGAAATGTCAGTTAACATCAAACATGTTGCTGCCATGAAGTGCCAGACAATTCTTTTTTAGTACCTAAAAAAGTGTCCCTCCTCTGAGAAGAGGACAAATAGTTCACAGATGTGTAAGACATTTTAACTGTAGTGAAACAGCAGCCATTTCCTCTGCTGTTTCCTGTCCGTCTAATCACTTCTGCTTTTACTTTCTTTCTTTTTTCTTTTTTTTTTTTTAAGACGTAGTCTCGCTCTCTCTCCCAGGCTGGAGTGCAGTGGCGCGATCTCAGCTCACTGCAAGCTCCGCCTCTCGGGTTCACGCCATTCTCTGCCTCAGCCTCCTCGAGCAGCTGGGACCACAGGCGCCCGCCACCACGCCAGGCTAATTTTTTGCATTTCTAGCAGAGACGGGGTTTCACTGTGTTAGCCAGGATGGTCTCGATCTCCTGACCTCGTGATCCGCCCGCCTCGGCCTCCCAAAGTGCTGGGACTACAGGCGTGAGCCACCGCGCCCGGCTATGCTTTTATTTTCAAGGCACTAATCAAAATTTCTGGCCTACTGATGGCCCTATTTAAAGGGTTTCCTGGGCTATGATAGTTTCAAACTCTATATTTCCTGAAGACTAATAAAGAGGGAAGGGAGTTCTGTTTGTCAACTTTACTGTTTCTTTTCCTCCTTCCCTTCCTTCCATTCTTTCTTTCTTTTTCTCCTGTCACTCTCTTTTTTTTTTGCTGCTTTTCTCCAAAAAAGAACTTCACTATTTCTTTCCCTACCAGAGCAGCCCCTCATTACCTCCTGACTCTGAGAAAGAAACTCTGTCTCTTTCAGATGTCCTTAGTTGATTGACTCACAAGCAAGGAGTGTGACAAGGAAAATAGAATAAAACACCTTCTAAATTCTAATACAAATTGAGAAATTTGTACCTTTGTCTCTGCCTTGCAACATTTAAAATAAAGTGGGACCATCTGAGAAGCATATATTGTTCAAATCTTGGGATAATTTCAAAACATCTTTTCCTCAATGACAAATCAACAATACTGGAATACATATCATATATATGTAGTATGTATTATATATATATATCAGACAAAGATTATTTCTCTAAACTATTTGATAATGATTTTCAGACATCATATCTTTTTATTCTTAAATACTTCAATGTGTATTTCTTAAGAAAAAGGTCAATTCCTTAACACAACACAATTATCAAGTTCAGTAAATTTGACATTGATAAATGTGAATATAGTCTAATATAAAGTCTATTAAAAATTGTCTAATTGTACCAATAAAAACTTTTATAGAAATTTCTCTTCCAAGCTAGGATCCATTTCAGAATCACATATGAATCTAGTTGTCTTGACTCTTTAGTGCCCTTTAATTTGGAACAGTTTCTTAATCTTCTTGTCTTTCACAACACCGACATGTTTTTGAAGAGTTTTTCCAGTGGTTTTGTGCAACGTTTCTTAATCTGTATTAGCCATGATAAGATTACATCGGGTTATGGAATTTGGGAGAAATGTCACAGAAATCACGTTATTACCCTCTCTCACACCAAGAGGCATGAGCTGACTGAAGTTAGCTTGATCACTTGATTTTAAGTTTGTAATTACTGTTTCTTCCCTGAAAAATTATCATTTTCCTCATTGTAATTAATAAATAATCTACAGGGAAATACTCTGAGACTACGTAAATATCCTGATCCTCATCAAATTTTTACCTATACTTTAACATTAACTTACAAATTTTGCCTGCATCTATCATCATTCTGATGGTATTGTTTAAATGGGGATTTTTAAATTTTATCCTCACTTTGTTTCTTTGTTCATTTTTTTGAGACGGAGTCTCGCTCTGTCGCCCAGGCTGGAGTGCAGTGGCGCAATCTTGGCTCACTGCAAGCTCCGCCTCCCGGGTTCACGCCATTCTCCTGCCTCAGCCTCCCGAGTAGCTGGGACTACAGGCACCCGCCACCACGCCCGGCCAAGGTTTTGTATTTTTAGTGGAGAGGGGGCTTCACCGTGTTAGCCAGGATAGTGTCGATCTCCTGACCTCGTGATCCACCCGCCTCAGCCTCCCAAAGTGCTGGGATTAAAGGCGTGAGCCACTGCGCCCGGCACTCACTTTCACATTTATCATTTGGCAAACCACTGTAAGGAAAATCGTCCCGTCCTCCATATTTATTTGTTTAAGTTCCCAAGAATGATAATCAGTTATTGTCATCACTGATGCTAAAAGTGTGTCAGATTTGGCCAGTGAGATTCCCTTCAAGCTGGCTTCTGTGTCCTTTTAAATCACCCCCGTCATTTCTGAGCACTTACATTCTGGCAAGGCAAGATATCTTAGGTTCATTTTGCAGTTTCCCTGGCACAGTCCTGGAGTCTGTGTAGTTGACACTAATAGCTACTTTCTATTAGTATCTCTGGTTCCTTTTAGTAGGGAATGGTATTTGAAAATCAAGATACAGAGTTATCTTTGCTCATTGCTTCTGAGGTATCATTTCTTCTAGGCCCAGTTAGCAGATAGATCTGTGGGGAAATTTTACAATTTCATATGTACAATTTCATACTGATGCCTCTAATTCCCATCAGTATCAACAGGACTATTCTTTACCTTCCTTCTTCTCCCACAGTGAGAGTCTGTTTCCAACAACAGACACTCGATTTCCCAATCCTAAAATTCACACAAAATATCAGAATTGCTACAGCCCTCACTCTACAAAAAATAATCCTGATACATAGAGTTTAAGATTTGTTCGATGTTCTTTTTGATCTCACAATTAGAACAACAATCTGTGTAAACCATTTTCTTATATCAGTTCTTTCCTCTTCAATGTGGTTATGTTATTCTTTTGAAATGCAGTTAATTTGCCTCTATTTGTACTGAATTTTAGGGTATTTTCACACATACCTGAGTTTTATTTTTTGACTATGGGAAACACTAAGATGCTTCCCAGAGTCAAAAGAAAAAAGTTATAATCAGAAAATTTGCAAGAGAATGTTGTATGCCGGAGGTCACTCAAGGGATAGAATGGAATTATGCTCCAGAAAGTCTAATATGATGGGGAGACCACTTTGGGGTGAGTTGATCTTGGACTGACCACAAATCAGGAACATCAGGAACAATGCCTTTGTTTTTACCACAAGATATCTTTCTCCTGGTGTAGCCATGCCCGAGAGAGAGAGAGAGAGAGAGAGAGAGAGAGAGAGAGAGAGAGAGAGAGGGCGCTTAGTGTCGGGAATTCATAAACAGTGGAATTGGAAACATACAGTGATTGTCTTGATGACACAGAGCACAGACTCAGGCAACGGAGATCACCAAAACATTTTCCCAAGCTCCTGATCTCCTGCGGGGGTATAGCTCAGGGACAGAGCACGTGGTTAGCATGCGTGAGGTCCTGCGTTCAACTTCCAGTATTTCCACTCTTTTTTTTCCTATGAGCCACCTTAGGAAGTTCTCCATGATATTCCCCACCTATTCAAGGGAATTGTGTTGGCCTCTGCATTTCTCTCTCATACAGGGAGATAATTCGTGTTCATTCACTTACAGTTCTTTGTTGCTTAGAATTATCCCCCTGTCCTAATTAGTTCCACAAATCACTAATGTGGATCACACACTATAGAAGCAAGTAGTATTCCTTGCCATCCCGCCGATTTCCAGTTTAAATAAAATAGTCAGAAACCATTGAATTCTGTGACCTAAGTCTGATTTCAGATCAGAAGGTTAAGGCTCAAGTTCTTTTGCGTTTCTTACTTTCTTCTAACTGCTTCCTCACCCAGGTTGCAAAAGTCCTGCAAGCTTTCACTAAAAGATTCCACTACAAGTGGCTGATGATTGCTGGTGATGTGCTGGTGGTCACTTTTTCCATTAGAGACCGACAAATTCTGAAACTTAATCCAAGCTATTTAACTACAAACATAAGGACAAATGACAAATATAATGACAAATGAGGAAAAGATCTCAATCACCTCAGCTGAAATTTAGCAGGGAGAAAATTACTTCTCTTGGTTCTTTAAGGAAGTTTCTGGTCTGAAATGGCAAGCTCTCTGAACTCCAGAGTCCAAGATCCATCTAGGGTAGAAGCTCGTTTCTTCTTTTTTTTTTCTTTTTTCTTTCTTTCTTTTTTTTTTTTTTTTTTTTTTTTTTTTTTTTTTTTTTTTGAGATGAAGTCTCACTCTGTTGCCCAGGCTGGACTGCAGTGGAGCGATCTTGGCTCACTGCAAGCTCCGCCTTCTGGGTTCAAGCAATTCTCCTGCCTCAGCCTCCTGAATAGCTGGAAATACAGGCACTTGCCACCTCGCCTGGCTAATTTTTTGTATTTTTAGTAGAGATGGGGTTTCACCATGTTGGCCAAGCTGGTCTCAATCTCCTGACCTCGTGATCTGCCCACCTTGGCCTCCCAAAGTGCCGGGATTACAGGCGTGAGCCACTGCACCCAGCCAAAACCTCATTTCTTTGTTTTGTTTTGTTTTTTTTAATAAATAAAAATAATGAACTTTTATTCTCCCAATCCCAATGGATCCTTTTCTACCTCACTGTACTTACTTTCAAGGAATAACTTCCTTCTTAGCTACTGAACATCCCATATCTCCAGATTAGAACCCTGCACAATTTCTAATTCTGATATCACAGTGCTAAGCAGAAATTCACAGGGGGATACTTGGCAAGCATCTTAACACTATTTTGTTAAAAGAAAATCTCCTTTTATTTTCCACTCTATTTCATCAAAGGATTAAAAATTAAGTTACTAAACACCTAGAAGGCAGAAAAGCAGCCTCTTTCTCCATGTGCAGAAGCTAAGCAACCCAGTGGGGCTTCTGTATGCATCATCTCTTTTACTCACTTTCTAAAAGCTGTAACCGTCCACCATCTACCAGGCGATCACAAACCACCCCTTAAGTCAATTTTGAGGTTAACCCACTTGACTTGAGAGGGATTCACCTGTACCACCTCTGCAGCTGTTATGTGAGAAAATAAACTCATCCATCTAAACCCAAAGAATGGACTCAGAGACCCGGAGAACAGCGAAAGTGAGACTTTTAATGACGGTCTTGAGAGATCAAGATCGGGTGTCTGGCGTGCAGGCACACCCAGAACAGTTTCAACAAGCAATTTGTCCCCTAGTGCGCAAGTCCCTCCCCAGGTTCCTCATAGGCTGAGTGCTATGGGGTTACAATTTTCTCGGCGTTTGCCTACTGATTGTTAGGCAAAGGCTTTAGGTGTCTCTTTTTTAGGGTTGTCTTGCTGCATTTTGTTGCAGCCCACAATGCATTGCAATCCTGGTTAGCTCAAGGGCTCTTTAAGTGTTTGACTTATGACCTAAGTAGCTGGGCAGGCTGATAAGAACAGACAAAGTGAGCTATTTTGCAGACTAGTAAACTTATATCTTAGACTAAACTGTTTTTGTTTGGGTGAAGGCCACCAAGGATGGGGGATGGGAAGGGGGAGGAAAGAGGGGGGCGACAAGCAGGCATCCGCTATCCAAGCAGGGACCTAGTATACCCTGTTTCTTCTGTACTTTGCTGACCTAAGCCAATTTAAGGCACTTTGTCTTGGAAATAGATCACTGTATACATTATTTCCTTCAGGAATAGCACTAAGGAAAAGGTGGCTGCACACGTAGTTAACACCGATTTTACCGCGACTTTGTAGTACCTAACCTTGTTTTTAGACTCTCCCTTAATCGCCTAGCCTTGTTTCCACATGAATAGGCTCTTCCTTAGCTGAGAAAGCCGGAAGTACTCCTTTTGGCTCCTTCATTTACAAGACGTCAAAGACTCCTTACCCACCCCCTTCCTCAAGCAGTTAACTTGTGTAAGCTGACTCTTACATATCAAAGAGTCCAATTAACTGATAAGGTACTGAAGCAAGCAATTTACGAAGTTACCAGGATTTCGCTCAAGAGATAACACCATAAAGCTTTGAGTTTGTGTCCGGGAGAGCCCCCATACCTAACGCCTTATGATAGATTTAGAGCCCCTGCACCTGGAACTGTTTGTTTCCTTGTAACCATTTGTCTTTTTAATTTTTTTGCATGCTTTTACTTCTGTAGAATTGCTGCAACTAAGCTCCCCCTCCCCTTTCTAAACCAAAGTATAAAGGAAAATCAAGCCCCTTCCTCGGGGCCGAGAGAATTTCGAGCGTTAGTCGTCTGTCGGTCGCCGGCTAATGAAGGACTCTTAAATTCGTCTCGAAGTGTGGCGTTTCTCTAACTCGCTCGGGTACAACATTTGGAAGCCCCAGCGAGATATATTCGCCACTGGGCGAGAGCCGGGCTAGCTCCGGGCTCCCCCGGAGGGACGGCCGGCTTATAGGCGAGGAGCCACCTGAAAAAAAATTTTCCAGGTCCCCGAAAGGCGACCGTCTTCCGGAGGACAGCGGATCGACTACCGTGTGTGTGTGCCCACAAAATTCAACCTCTGAGTCCTCAGCTTCTGACCCCGGGGTCAGGTAAGTTAGATTTGACTTCTGTTTGGTGAGAGGGAGGCAGCCCTGACGAGGGCATCCCTGTCTTTGACACTGCCCGCTTTTCCAGGGCGCTGGAGGACAGAGCCCTGGTTTTTCTGTTAGGCGCCTTTTGGTTCTGGTTTGGTGAGAGGGAGGCAGCCCTGACGACGGTGTCCCTCTCTTTGACTCTATCCATACTCCAGGACGCTGGAGGATAGAGCCCTGGTTTCTGGCAGGCCGGCCTCTCCATTAAGACTAGTCTCTCACTCTCTCCTCCTCTTTTTCTTTCTCTCCCCCTTGCTCTATCTCTTCTCCTCCTCTCGTTCAGGTCTTCTGGGACCTTTGTTTAGAACGGGAAATAACAAAAATTGTTATAAACTCTTTGTGAATGTGTGCACGACTGAGGAGTCCAGGGGCCTGCCTCTGGATCCCCAGTTTGTAGCTCCACGGCGAAAGCTACGGAGTTCGAGTGGGCCCTCACCTGCCGTTCCGTGGCGACCTCATAAGGCTTAAGGCAGCATCGGGCATAGCTCCATCCGAGCCGGGGGTTTATACCTGCCTGCCAATGCTAAGAGAAGCCCAAGTCCCCTCAGGGGGAGCGGCCAGGCAGGCATCTGACTGATCCCATCATGGGACCCCCTCCCCTTGTCTGTCTAATAAAAACCTACCATAATTGTTTATATACCCAAGGGTCTATTGTTTGTTTTGTGTTTGTTGTCCTGCTCGGTGTCTATTGTCCTGTTTAGTGGTTGTCAAAGTTTCGTATGTCAGGTCATCGATACTGCCCAAGACGTCTGGGCAGGAACTTCTTCAAGGTCTTTAGTGTTGATTTTTTATCACAGGAGGTTAAATTTCTCATCAATCGCTTAGGCTGGCCATCCCAGTCCTGCCTTTTCTGTCAGAAACAAATCAGGTGTTGTTACGGGAACGGGAACGAGTGTGAGGAACATTCGCCTGTTTGGGATTTCTGGCACCATGAAGATTGCTGGCATTTAGATTGTCATACCCCATGTCCAAGTGACTGGGCCACCTCCAGACTAAACCGGTGGTAGGTTCAAAATAGCCACCCTGCAGACCTCCTTGCTCACCTCTTTTGTCATCCCGTAACTTTTTCTGTGCCCTTAAATACGGCACTGTGCAGAGAAACCTACGCCCGTACCACTTTACTTCGTTTAAACCCTTATTCTATTCCTCTGTGGCTACTCTCCTACCCTAGGAAAGATCCGAGTGGCCCTTTTTCCTCCTCATCCCTACCACTTACCCCGTACATCTCGTTTTCCCGTGTCACAGCAAGTTCAGCGTCTCCAGGACTTGGCTCTGCTCTCACTCCTCAAACTCTTAAAAGAAAAGGCCGAATTTGAGCTATTTGCCTTTGAGTCGTGGAGACACCAAAAGTATTTAGGCTACAGGTCCAGGGAAAGAGGGAGGACGCCTAGGTCCATCCAGCCAAGGAGACCTAAGGTTGGCCTCTAGTCCTCCTCCCTCAATCTTGGATAATTATTCTTTTTTTTTTTGAGACAGTCTTCTCTGTCGCCCAGGCTGGAGTGCAGTGGCGCGATCTCAGCTCACTGCAAGCTCCGCCTCCCAGGTTCAGGCCACTCTTCTGCCTCAGCCTCCCAAGTAGCTGGGACTACAGACACCCGTCACCACACCCAGCTAATTTTTTGTATTTTTAGTAGAGACGGGGTTTCACCGTGTTAGCCAGGATGGTCTCGATCTCCTGACCTCGTGATTCGCCCGCCTCAGCCTCCCAAAGTGCTGGGATTACAGGCGTGAGCCACTGCGCCCGACCTCCCTCAATCTTAAAGCTAGTTAACCGTCCTGTGGCAAGTAGTGTGAGCTATTGTTGTCTTTCGGCTCCTTCTGGTTATGTTAATTCTGTTCTTCCGATACTCCAGCCCCCTAGGGAATGAGTTTTTCTGTCCGTGCTGGGTTTGATATCCCTGCTCAAACCTTGTCAAACTGCCTCCAAAAATGGGAAACTCCTCTTCCCGGCCCTGTAAGGATTGGAGCCCCCTCCAATGTATGCTGCAGAATTTTTCTCTAGGCTTCTCAGAGGATTATGGGGTCCGCCTTTAAAAAGGCAAACTCCGGACACTCTGCGAAGTAGAATGGCCAAAGTTTGGAGTCGGATGGCCCCCAGTAGGGTCACTGAACCTAGCAATTGTTCAGGCTGTGTGGCGGGTTGTTGCTGGAACTCCCGGCCACCCCGATCAGTTTCCCCACATTGATCAATGGCTGAGTTTGGTCAGAAGCTCCCCACCATGGCTCCGCTCATGCGCCATTCATAATTCTGCCTCCAAGGTCGTTTTGAGCCAGACCGCACTTCCGCCTGGACCCTCAGTCTGTTCGGCTCACCCTGTACTGCCTCCCTCTGAAGAAGAGGAGAGTCTCCCCCACTCAGTTCCGCCGCCTTATAACCGTCCTGCTCCCTTAGAATCTTCCCTTGTCTCCTCGACTACATCCCCTGTAGGCTCGCCGCCTATTGCCTCTCGATTGCGGCCGCGGCAGGAGGAAGTAGCCCCCCCTCTACCGCGGAAAGAAGCACAAGTCCCTCCGGGTGATGAGCGCTCAGCCCCATTCTTGGTTTATGTCCCTTTTTCTCCTTCTGACCTCTGTAACTGGAAGGCTCATAATCCTCCCTTCTCTGAAAAGCCCCAGGTCTTGATCTCACTGATGGAGTCTGTGCTCCGGACCCATCGGCCCACCTGGGATGACTGTCAGCAGCTCCTTTTGACCCTTTTTACCTCTGAAGAGAGGGAACATATCCGAAGAGAGGCCAGAAAGTATTTCCTCACATCAGCCAATAGGCCAGAGGAGGAAGCTAGAGACTTTCTTGAGGAGGTCTTTCCCTCTACCCGGCCTAACTGGCACACGAATTCCTCGGGTAGGAAGAAAGCTTTGGACGATTTTCACCGGTATCTCCTTGCAGGTATCAAAGGAGCTGCTCAGAAACCCATAAACTTGTCTAAGATGACTGAAGTCGCACAGGGCCTGATGAGTCACCGGGAGCGTTTTTAGAACGCCTCCAGGAGGCCTATCGGACTTACACCTCTTTTGACCCGGCGGCTCCCGAAAATAGCCGTGCTCTTAATTTGGCATTTGTGGCTCAGGCAGCCCCTGATATTAAAAGAAAACTCCAAAAACTGGAGGGATTTCCTGGGATGAATATCACTCAGCTTTTAGAGATAGCCCAAAAAGTTTTTGACAATCGAGAGTTTGAAAAAAGAAAACAAACAGCACAGGCAGCAGCTGATAAAGCATACAAAAGACAAGCAAAAATCTTAGCTGCGGCCATCGGAGAGGTCAAGAAGGGAAGGCCCCCATCACAGAGGAATAGCCAGGGAACCTCAGGTCCCTACCAGAAGGGCAAAAGAGGAGAACAGGCTCCCCTAGAAAAGGACAAATGTGCTTATTGCAAGCAGACTGGGCACTGGAAAAAGGAATGCCCACTACGGCCAGAGGAAAAATCAGAAAAGAAAAAGGCCCTCACCCTCCCCGCAACGGAAGAGTCTGATGACTGATGGAGCCAGGACTCCCTCTCTCTTGGCCCCCAGGAGCCCACGGTGACCGCTACAGTGAGGGGCCAGCCTGTACGCTTCCTAGTAGCTACCGGGGCGGAGCACTCGGTACTACAGACCCCCTTGGGCAGTGTCTCTAATAAAAGAGTGGCTGTACAAAGGTCTACTGGAGCTATTCAGGAATATCCTGTCACACACTCACGAGAAGTGAGCTTGGGACAGAAAAGAGTGAGACAGTCATTTCTTGTGGTTCCAGAGTGTCCTTTTCCTCTCCTCGGAGGAGATCTGCTCCATAAGTTACAGGCCTCTATCTCCTTCTCAGCCCAGCAGGCTAACGTCATGCTAGGAAATACAGCGCCCCCCACTGCCCAACTCCTGCTAACTACCCCTCTGTCAGAGGAAAATCTTTTAGTGTCACCATCACAACCACTGGAAAATAATACTAATCCTCTCCTGTTGGACTTACAGACACTCTTTCCCAGAGTTTGGGCCAGTCAAACCCCCCAGGACTGGCTAAACACCATCCACCAGTGGTTGTAGAACTCCTGGCCACTGCCTTGCCTGTCCAGGTAAAGCAATATCCTATGAGTCAGCAGGCTAGACAGGAGATTAATCCCCATATTCAATGACTGTTACAAGCTGGCATACTCACACCGTGTCAGTCCGCCTGGAATATTCCATTTTTGCCGGTCCAGAAACCCGGAACGAATGATTACCAGCCGGTACAGGACTTAAGGGAAGTTAACAAACAGACTGTTACTGTCCATCCAACTGTCCCCAATCCTTATACTCTACTCAACCTGCTCCCGCCAGAACTTACAGTATATACACTGTCCTTGACCTAAAGGATGCCTTCCTTGCTATTTCTCTGGCCCCCAAGAGCCAACTGATCTTTGCTTTTGAATGGACAGATCCTAGCTCAGGAGACACTACCCAATTGACTTGGACTCAGTTACCTCAAGGTTTTAAAAATTCCCCCACCCTTTTTGGAGAGGCCCTCCAGCAGGATCCTATACCATTCCAAGCTAGTCACCTTAACTGTACTCTTCTTCAGTAGGTGGACAACCTTTTATTAGCTACTGAAACTAAAGACAGTTGCCTGCAACATACTAGGGACCTACTTTACCTCCTTCAGGAGCTCGGGTATCGAGTCTCAGCCAAGAAGGTCCAGCTTTGTCTTCCCACAGTGTCCTACCTAGGATACGACATAAGCCAAGGAAAAAGGGCACTCACCAGTGCCCGGAAAGAAGCCATCCTACGAATCCCCACTCCCACCACCAAGAGACAGGTACGTGAATTCCTGGGGGCCGTAGGATACTGTCGCCTATGGATGTCGGGGTTCGCGGAGATTGCGAAGCCCCTGTACACTGCTACAGGAGGGAATAGCCGGCTAGTTTAGATGGACACAGAAGAACAGGCTTTTCAAAATCTGAAAAAGGCATTAACTGAAGCCCCTGCTCCAGCCCTCCCAAATATCCCAGAGCCGTTTCACCTGTTTGTCCACGAAAGCCAGGGAGTTGCTAAGGGGGTGCTTACTCAGACTTTAGGACCCTGGAGATGCCCAGTGGCCTATTTGTCTAAGAGGCTGGATCCTGTGGCCTCTGGATGGCCAACTTGTCTGCGAGTCATAGTGGCAACAGCAAGCCTAGTCTAAGAGGCTGATAAGTTAACTCTAGGTCAAAATTTAACCTTTACCGCTCCTCATGCCGTAGAGACTTTATTACGAAGTGCTTCTGGCAAATGGATGTCAAATGCTCGCATCCTGCAGTATCAGAGTTTACTGTTAGATCAGCCTCGTTTGACTTTCTCTCCCAGAAGGTGTTTAAATCCAGCTACTTTACTCCCTGATCCAGACTTCACTACACCTGTCCATGACTGCCAGGAACTGTTAGAAACTACAGAAACTGGCCCACCTGATCTCCAAGATGTGCCCCTAAAGAAGGTGGACGCCGCCATGTTTACAGGCGGTAGCAGCTTTCTCAAAACAGGGAGTACGAAAGGCTGGTGCAGCCATTACTACAAAGACAGATGTGCTATGGGCCCAGGCTTTACCGGCAAATACCTCGGCACAAAAAGCTGAATTGATCGCCCTCACTCAGGCTCTCCGATGGGGTAAGGATAAACTTATTAACATTTACACTGACAGCAGGTATGCTTTAACTACTGTACATGTACATGGAGCCATCTATCAGGAGCGTGGGCACCTCAGCAGGAAAGACTATCAAAAACAAAGAAGAAATTCTAGCCCTGCTTGAAGCCGTATGGCTCCCTCAGCAGGTGGCTGTAATCCACTGCAAAGGACATCCAGGAGAAAACACGGCCATTGCCCGTGGTAACCAGAAAGCTGACTCAGCGGCCCGGGATGCAGCCAGACTTCCAGTCATGCCTCTAAACTTATTACCCACAGTCTCCTTTCCACAGCCAGATCTGCCCTACAATCCCGCGTACTCAACGGAAGAAAAAAAACTAGCTTCAGATCTCAGGGCCAATAAAAATCAGGAAGGTTGGTGGATTCTTCCTGACTCCAGAATCTTCATACCCCGAGCTCTCTCGGGGAAACTTTAATCAGTCGCCTGCATTCTACCACCCATTTAGGAGGAGCAAAACTGGCCCGGCTCCTCTAGAGCCATTTTAAGATTCCCTATCTTCAAAGCTTAGCAGATCAAGCAGCTCTCCGGTGTACAACTTGTGCCCAGGTAAACGCCAAGCAAGGTGCTAAACCCAGCCCAGGCCACCGTCTTTGAGGAAACTTGCCAGGAGAAAGGTGGGAAGTTGACTTTACAGAAATAAAACCACACCGGGCTAGGTACAAATACCTTCTAGTACTAGTAGACACCTTCTCCGTATGGACTGAGGCATTTGCCACCAAGAATGAGACTGCCACCATGGTAGTTAGGTTTTTACTCAATGAAATCATCCCTCGACATGGGCTGCCTGCTGCCATAGGGTCTGATAACGGACTGGCCTTCACCTCGTCCATAGCTCAGTCAGTCAGTAAGGCATTACACATTCAATGGAAGCTCCATTGTGCCTATCGACCCCAGAGCTCTGGGCAGGTAGAACGCATGAACCGCACCCTAAAAAGCACTCTTACAAAGTTAATCTTAGAGACCGGTGAGAACTGAGTAAGGCTCCTTCCTTTAGCCTTTCTTAGAGTAAGGTGCACTCCTTACTGGGCTAGGTTTTCACATTTTGAAATCATGTATAGGAAGGCTCCACCTATCTTGCCTAAGCTAAGGGATACCAATTTGGCAGAAATATCACAAGCTAATTTATTACAGTAGCTAAAGTCTCTCCAACAGGTACAAGATATCATCCAGCCACTTTTCCGAGGAGCCCATCCCAATCCGGTTCCTGACCAGATGGGGCCCTGCCACTCATTCCAGCCAGGTGACCTGGTGTTTGTTAAAAAGTTCCAGAGAGAAGGACTCACTCCTGCTTACATAGGACCTCATACTGTCATCCTCACCATGCCAACAGCTCTGAAGGTGGATGGCATTCCTGCTTGGATTCGTCACTCCCGCATCAAAAAGGCCAACAAAGCCCAGCAAGAAACATAGGTCCCCAAGCCTGGGTCAGGCCCCTTAAAACTGTGCCTAAGTCGGGTGAAGCCATTAGATTAATTCTTTTTATTTACTTCTCTTTTTGGTTTTTGCCTGTCATGTCCTCTGCACCTTCCTATTCCCTTCTTCTCACCTATTTCATGACAAGACGTATATTCGCAAACAGTACTTGGAGGGCAGGAACCTCCAAGGAAGTCTCCTTTGCAGTTGATTTATGTGCACTGTTCCCAGAACCAGCCCGTACCTACAAAGAGTAACACAATCTGACAGTCAAGGGGGCAGGAAGCGTTGACCTTTTGGCAGGATTTGGACACTCCGGGAGCCAGACTGGATGTGGGAGCTCCAAAGGTGCGGAAAAAGGACTTCAGAATGTTGACTTTTACCTCTGTCCTGGAAATCACCCTGACTCTAGCTGTTGAGATATTTACCAGTTTTTCTGCCCTGATTGGACACGTGTAACTTTAGACACTTAACTCTGGGAGATCAACCGGATCTTCAACTCTTTCCATAAGTCGTGCTTCCCATCCTAGATTGTGTACTAGAAAAAATTGTAATCCTCTTACTATAACTGTCCATGACCCTAATTCAGCTCGATGGTATTATGGCATGTCATAAGGATTAAGGCTTTATATCCCAGGATTTGATGTTAAGACTATGTTCGCCATCCAGAAGAAAATCCTGGTCTCATGGAGCCCACCCAAGCCAATCAGGCCTTTAACTGATCTAGGCGACCCTATGTTCCAAAAACACCCTGACAAGGTCGATTTAACTGTTCCGCCACCATTCCTAGTTCCTAAACCCCAGCTGCAGCAACAATATCTTCAACACAGCCTGATGTCCATACTAGGCAGGGTACATCACCTTCTTAACCTCACCCAGCCTAAACTAGCCCAAGATTGTTGGCTATGTCTAAAAGCAAAACCCCCTTATTATGTAGGCTTAGGAGTAGAGGCCACACTTAAAAGTGGCCCTTTATCTTGTCGTGCACGACCCTGTGCCCTCACACTAAGGGATGTGTCTGGAAACGCTTCTTGTCTAATTAGTACCGGGTATAACTTATCTGCTTCTCCCTTTCAGACTACTTGTAATCAGTCCCTGCTTACTTCCATAAGCACCTCAGTCTCTTACCAAGTGCCTAACAATACCTGGTTGGCCTGCACTTCAAGTCTCACTCACTGCATTAATGGAACTGAACCAGGACCTCTCCTGTGCATGTAAGTTCATGTACTTCCCTGGGTATACGTGTACAGTGGACCAGAAGGACAACTTCTCATTTCTCCCCCTGAGTTAGATCCCAGGTTTCGCTAGCTGCCCTGCTCCTAGTTCCCTTCTTGGCCAGCCTTAGCATAGCCAGATCAGCAGCCCTAGTTCAAGGAGAAACTGGAATAATGGCCCTATCTCAACAGGTAGATGCTAATTTAAGTAACCTCCAGTCTGTCGTAGATTTGTTACATTCCCAGGTAGAGTCTCTAGCTGAAGTAGTTCTTCAAAACCGCTGAGGCTTAGATCTACTATTCCTCTCTCAAGGAGGTTTATGCGCAGCTCTAGGAGAAAGTTGTTGCTTCTATGCCAATCAGTCTGGAGTCATAAAAGATACTCTCCAAAAGGTTCGAGAAAATCTAGATAGATGCCAACAAGAAAGAGAAAATAACATCCCCTGGTATCAAAGCATGTTTAACTGGAATCCATGGCTAACTACTCTAGTCACTAGGTTAGTTGGACCCCTCCTCATCCTACTATTAAGCTTAATTTTCAGGCCGTGTATATTAAATTAGTTTCTTAACTTTGTAAAACAACGCATAGCTTCTGTCAAATTTATGTATCTTAGAACTCAATATGACCCCCTTATTATAACTGAGGAATCAACGATTTGATTCCCCAAAAACACAAGTGGGGAATGTAATACCTAACGTTGTTTTTAGACTCTCCGTTAATCACCTAGCCTTATTTCCACATGAATAGGCTGTCCCTTAGCTGAGAAAGCTGGACGAACTCCATTTGGCTCCTTCATTTACAAAACATCAAGGACTCCTTACCCACCCCCTTCCTCAAGCAGTTAACTTGTGTAAGCTGACTCTCAACATATCAGAGTCCAATTAACTGATAAGGTACTGAAGCAAACAATGCACGAAGTTCCCAGGATTTCACTCAAGAGATAACACCATAAAGCCTTGAGTTTGTGTCTGGCAGAACCCCCATACCTAATGCCTTATGATAGATTTAGAGCCCCTGCACCTGGAACTGTTTGTTTACCTGTAACCATTTGTCTTTTTAATTTTTTTGCATGCTTTTACTTCTGTAGAATTGCTGCAACTAAGCTCCCCCTCCCCTTTCTAAACCAAAGTATAAAGGAAAATCAAGCCCCTTCCTCGGGGCCGAGAGAATATCGAGCGTTAGTCCTCTTTTGGTCGCCGGCTAATAAAGGACTCTTAAATTCGTCTCAAAGTGTGGCATTTCTCTAACTCGCTCGGGTACAACAACTTCGCCTTTCCGCAGCCGCTGTCCAGCTCTGCAGAGTCCTTTTGAGAGAAGAGCTGGACAAGAG
Source organism: Homo sapiens (assembly GCF_000001405.40). NCBI lineage: Eukaryota > Metazoa > Chordata > Mammalia > Primates > Hominidae > Homo > Homo sapiens. Next base: position 31,705 of record NT_167244.2, on the reverse strand, counting down.
GAGTAAAGGAGCTCTTTGCAAATGCCAGGAGGAGTTTCTTCAGGGGGAAAGTTGGCTTTCCATAGGCTTCTAAGAGAAGTATGTGGAGCAAACAAACGGGAATTTTCTTTCTCATCTTTTGCATTTCAGACAAAAGCTAATAAAATTAGCTGTTTCCACCGTCATGCTTAGTCTCAAAGCTGCCGGTAGATTCCGCTTCTAACTTTCCACACAGGCGCGCAGGAAATCGGGAAATCACTGCAGCTCCCTCAGAAGCTCCAATATCAGCATTTCCTGAACTGAAAATAAAAATGCGACATTACGTGCATACCCAAAGAGCTCAACTGGTCTGTCCAGCAACGTAAAGAGAGGTGAGGCGCTCTTGAAGCCGTGCCAGCCTGGGCGAAACGAACCAGGTCCCCTTCCTGGTCGAGCCTACCCCCCTAGGGACAAAAAGGAACCTCTCTTCCCTCCTATCCAGAGGAAGGGACGGAGAGATGTGGCGATCAGACTCACTCTACCATCCAGTCTATCCAAGTACTAATAATCTTGAGGATGCTTTTCCTTGCCCTCTACCTCTCTCCCTTTTGTCCTTTGCTTCCTCCACTTCACGGCACCCCGCCTCTTCCGTCTCCCCGCAAGCTGGCGCTCGGCTCCTCCCGTTTACTTTTTGTTTGTTTGTTTTTGTTTTTTGTTTGCTTTTGTTTTTGTTTTTTGTTTTTGTTTTTTTGAGACGGAGTCTCGCTCTGTCGCCCAGGCTGCAGTGCAGTGGCGCGATCTCGGTTCACTGCAACCTCCACCTCCTGGGATCAAGCGATTCTCCTGCCTCAGTCTCCCGATTAGCTGAGATTACAGGAGCCCCCCACCACGCCCGGCTAATTTTTGTATTTTTAGTAGGGACGGGGTTTCACCATTTTCACCAGGATAGTCTCCAACTTCTGATCTCAAGTGATCCGTCCGCCTCGGCCTCCCGAAGTTCTGAGATTATAGGCATGAGCCACTGCGCCCAGCTTTCAGAATGAACTTTTCACAATAGTGCAGCGCACTCCTAGACCCGTTTACGCACATTTTAAACACTGTGTTGTGATTCATATGTAGATCTTTCCACATCACTTTCTATTTTTTTTTTCTTCTTTTCCTTCTCTGTATGCTCAGCTTTAAACATTTTTGCACCATAGGCTGAGGCTGCACTCAGCTGGGGAGAGACGCGTGGCGGGGATAAAACTAGAGTAGAGGAATGTTGTTTCCTGTCTGAGAAGGCTCAGACCTTACAAGGGGAGAAAAAAGTCTGTAAGAGAATCTAAAACTTTTTTTGAGGAAATAATTGAAAAATATATCCTAATTGACCCTCCCACCGTATTTTGGCTAAAAATAGAAAGCCTCGACTCTCAGGAGATTGAGTTTGAAAACTGTTAAGACATAGAAAAGGTTTTATTAAAATTCAGTTTGCAAATCATCGTCGGCCTCAGCAATTTTCTCATTCCAGAGAGGGTTGTTTCCGAAATTCTGTAAACATCTGAATTTGTTCCTATGTCTAACCAGAGAAGTTCAATGTTTTTACACTTTTGACTTAACGTAAGAATTTATATTGAGATATATACACTTCTGGGATTGGCGTGCAAGTGTTGTATAAGGGAGTGATAATTAGGCAGAACTAAAAAAACCAAACAAACCTGGTGAAACCCGGGATCGAACCAGGGACCTTTAGATCTTCAGTCTAACGCTCTCCCAACTGAGCAATTTTGGCTACTCTAAGCACGTGCCGTTAGCAATTTCTTCAAAATATAAAAATCTTCATTTGTAAAGTGGGCGTATTTCCTAATGCCTAATTCTTTTTTGTTCAATATCAACACAAAAATTAGCCAGGGGTGGTGGCGCGCGCCTGTAATCCCAGCTACTCCGCGCCGCTGTACTCCAGCCTGGGCGACAGAGCGAGACTCCCTCTCCCTCCGTTGAAGTGGGAGGATCCACTGAGCCGGGGAGGCAGAAGTTGCCGCGAGCCGAGATTGCACCACTGCACTCCAGCCCACGCAACAGAGCGGGACCCTGTCTCGAAAACAACAACAAAAAAGAGTTGTTATGCACCAGTGTGGAGACCACAATTTTAAAAACTCTAAGGAAGAGATAGAATGTACTGGAGGACATAAGAGATCCTTCTTTTCTTTCTTTTCCTGTCACTTATTTTATTTATTTAATTTATTTTTTTTAGACAATCTCCCTCTATCGCCCAGTCTGGAGTGCAGTGGCGTGATCTCGGCTTACTGCAACCGCCACCTCCCGGGTTCAAGCAATTCTCCTGCCTCAGCCTCCCTAGTAGCTGGGATTACAGGCGCGCACCACCACCCCTGGCTAATTTTTGTATTGATATTGAACAAAACAGAATTAGGCATTAGAAAATACACTCACTCTACAAATGACGTTTTTATATTTTGAAGAAATGACTAAGGGTGTGTGCTTAGAGTAGCTGAAATAGCTCAGTTGGGAGAGCGTTAGACTGAAGATCTTAAAGTTCCCTGGTTCAACCCTGGGTTTCAGCCAGCATCTTTTGAGTTCTGCCTAATTATCACTCCCTTATACAGCACTTATACGCCAATCCCAGAAGCTTACATATCTCCAATTTTTGGGAGTTTTTGAAAGTCTGATAAAGGTAATGTACATGTTTGTATCACTCTCTCCTTTGTATATTCCACTGAAGTCTTCCATGAAGTGCTCTCATTACATAAATTATTTAAAGTTTTTGGACGGAGTCTCACTCCGTCGCCCAGGCTGGAGTGCAACGGCGCGATCTCGGCTCACTGCAACCTCCGCCTCCTGAGTTCAAGCTGTTCTCATATCTCAGCCTCCCAAGTAAGCTGAGATTACAGGCCCCCGCAACCATGCCCGGCTAATTTTTGTATTTTTAGTAGAGACAGGGTTTCGCCATGTTGATCAGGTTGGTCTCGACCTCCTGACCTCAGGTGATCCACCTGCCTCGGCCTCTCAAAGTGCTGGGATTTCAGGCGTGAGCCACTAAGCCCGTCCTTATTTAAAGTCTTAAACTTAGGAAGTTATTAGTTTTAAAACCTAAGAAATTCCAACGTGCTATATGCTGTGGCATTTACAAGTCATTTTTGATTTGATATTATTTATATGTATTGGGCGAGGGTTATTTTTAAATCACAAGAAATATGAAAAAAAGAAACATACAGTGAAGTAACTATTATACTGTATGAGCATATATATGGGGGTGTGGTGTATGCAAGAAACATTTTGAAATTAGAAAAACCCGGGTTTGTATCTTGAGTCAACTCCATTATTAAAGTGCTGTAAGAACTTTTTTTTTCTTTCTTTCTCTTTCTTTCTTTCTTTCTCTTTCTTTCTTTCTTTCTTTCTTTCTTTCTTTCTTTCTTTCTTCTTTCTTTCTTTCTTTCTTTCTTTCTTCTTTCTTTTCTTTCTTTTAAGCAGGGTCTCACTCTGTCATCCAGGCTGGAGTACAGTTATACAATCAGAGCTCACTACAGCCTCAACCTCTCTAGGCTGAAGTGACTCCACATGTCAGCACCCTGAGTAGATGGGACTACAGGCGAGCACCACCATGCCTGGCTAAATTTTTTTTTTTTTTTTTTTTTGTATTTTTTTTGTAGACTGTGGGTTTCACCGTGTTGCCCAGGCTGGTCTTTAAATCCTAGGTTTAAGCAATCCACCTGCCTAGGTAGGCCTCCCAGAGTGCTTGGATTACAGGCAGGAGCCATCGCACCAGGCCCAATTACAAGAACATTCTAAATTTTCTTGCTGAGAAGACATTTCTTTAGCCTGGCAACCTTGTCTAGAATTTCCAAATCTTAAGCTGTTTCCATGTTTGTATCCAGGAAAAAAGAAATATATGTATTTCTATATGAATTATTTTATCAAACATTCATGAGGGGCTCTAGAATACTGAAAATGAAAGCAAATGGGCAGCAAAGTCAAGACTCAGGTGCATGTGCCCCATTTTCCCTTTTTCACTTCAACTCCTCTCTTGAAATTCTCTGTTGGGATAATAGGTCTTTTTTTGGTCATTTTGATTTTTTTTCTTTCAAATTACTGCTTCAGTTTCAGTGTTGTTTTTCTCTAACTTCTGCATACCCTGTGAGGAGACAATAATCTACAATACTCCACTATCAGAACTGCAGCAAGTTGCAAAAGGAAAATTAGTACCAAATGAGAAGTAACCTTGGGTTAGGGACATTGACTGTACAGAAACTGGGAATCAGGTACTTTATCCTTTCACTGAGGCTTTCTCAACTCAGAAGCTTGTGTTTTACTCCATTAAGAAATATTTGACTAGACAAACAGTAACATTGAATGTTTTGTGCCTAACGCAGTAAAGATTCCTTTACATTCTGTTGAAATGGAAGGCCTAGGGCAATTCCAAGCATGATTTGTCTGCCATTCAATGGCTTAAAAATGATGTTAATAATGATTTTGTAAAATGGGATGTTGTAAAGATCAAAGGAGATCATGCATAGAAATGCATTCTGTCAAGTCCACTCACAGCATGAAACTTAATTACTGGCAGATCATGCTCCGTGTTCTCTGCTTCTGGGATTCTCCCAGAACAGCACCTAAATGGATAACATTGTCTTTAGACAATTCTGTCCAATCAAGAGATAATACAAGTTTTAAATGACAGCCATTTTGTAGTGTTACCTTTTGCAGTAGTTGCATTAAAAAAAGTCAATATTTATATTTTTATGTAATTTCAATTTTTATTTTAGATTTGGGGGTACACGTGCAGGTTTGTTACATGGGTATACTACATGATGCTGGGTAAATTGCATGAGGTTTTGAGTGCAATTGATCCCATCACCCAGGTAGTAGGCATAGTACCCAAGAGGTAGCTTTTCAAATCTTTCTGCCCTCCCTCCCACCCCTCCCCATAGTCCCCAGTGTTTGTTGTTGCTATCTTTTATGTCCAGTTTCAATAATATATTTAAATCACTTTGTATATCCAAAAACTTATTTTAAGAAGCTATCAATTATAAAATTATTAGTGAGATATTTTATATTTAAAAAATAGTATTACACATCTTTGAAATCTGGTGTGTGTATGTATATATATATTTACATATATATATATTTTTTTTTTTTTTTTTTTTTTTTGCGAAGGATTCTCGCTCTGTCACCCAGGCTGGAGTGCAGTGGCCCGATGTCGGCTCACTGCAACCTCAGCCTCCCAGGTTCAAGCAATTCTCCTGCCTCAGCCTCCCAAGTAGCTGGGATTTCAGGTGTGTGTCACCAAGCCAGGCTAATTTTTGTATTTTTAGTAGAGATGGGGTTTCACCATGTTGGTCAGGCTGGTCTCGAACTCCTGACCTTGTGATCCACCCACCTCAGCCACCCAAAGTACTGGGATTACAGACGCAAGCTACTGTGCCTGGCCAAATCTGATATGTATTTTACACTTACAACACTCTTAACTTGGACTGGGCAATTTCAAGCATTCAATAGCCAGTGTGGCTAATGGTAACCATATTGGACAGTGCAGGTTTAAACAGATACTTTATATATTTTTAGGTTTTCTGAATTGAGTATGTATCACATGAGGGTGTTCTGTCTTCAGGATTAAATGTTTAATTCCTCAGAGGAATTCTGTGTTAAATAAGCTCATCCCACAGTTTTTACAAAAAAAACTGTGTTTCAGTCGTGTTGTTGTTAGTCAGAAGAGAGCTACAGATATTTAATTATTTAAAATTCTCTCCTTTTCAAGAGGCAAACAAAAAAGCAGACCTTCATATTATGATGAATTCCCAAGAATCCAGTAGACATCCAGGTTTCTCTGGGTGCAACATGACATAATGATGAAGGAGTGTTTCTGCAAATTGTCCTAATATTACTTCTGCAGCATCAAAGAGCTAAGATTATCTCCCTAGCATTTACATGCACACACAGACAGTCAAACACACACACAAACACTAGTTTTGTGTGTAACACTTCTCTTGTTTCTTATTCAGTGAAACCTAGCATTCAGTGCTTCCTATTTTTGTTCTAGAAATTCCATCAGCCAACCGAAAAGACAAGTCTGCCATATAACCTGCTGTTTTCTGCCAGTTCTACAAGGGATCAATGTTATTTCATGAGTGTTGGCAAAGGCTCATATATGAGTAAATCAGAATGAGAAAGAGTTAACAGTCACTAGAAATTTGGTGTCAGGAAATGGATTTTCTTCTCATCTTCTTATGTAGTTCAAAGAACACAGCCCTAATCATGATAAATAATAATAAATACCAGGGTTCAAGAACATAGAGGAGCAAACTTTAAAAAAAATTTTTTTTTACTTTATTATTATTATTATTATTATTTGAGAGAGAGTTTCACTCTTGTTGCCCAGGCTGGAGAGCAATGGCATGATCTCACTCACTGCAACCTCCACCTCCTAGGTTCAAGCAATTCTCCTGCCTCAGCCTCCCGAGAAGCTGGGATTACAGGAATGCACCACCACACCCAGCTAATTTTTGTATTTTTAGTAGAGACAGGGTTTCACCATGTTGGCCAGCCTGGTCTCGAACTTGCAACCTCAGGTGATCCACCCGCCTTGGCCTCCCAAAGTGCTGGGATTACAGGCGTGAGCCACCACACCCGGCTTTTTTTTCTTTTAAACAAATATCGTGAATAGGTTTGTAATTCCCAAATCTAAAAGGACCCTTTTTAGTCTTTATCCACCCTCTATGCAATATGTCTACTACTACTAATGCTCACAAACCCCAGGCTGGAGAGTCAATTGCCTGAGTTCTCCATGTAACATCCTCACAGTGTGCCCCACAGATACACCGAATTTAGCATGAGCCAAGCTAACTTATCTTCTCCATCTTCCAATCTTTCTCCCATTCCTTAAAGAGTTGTTAAAAACTCCCCTTTTCTACACCTCCTTCTGTTTGGCAATAGCCTGTTTGTTTTTCTAAACCACTTTCCCCCGTACCTCTTAAATCCTGTTTCTACTTATTTTTTATCTCACCCTCATAATTCAACTCTTCTCGTCATCCCTAGAGGTGTTGTTTCACTCACACCTTATAAATTTTTCTTTTCTTTTCTTTTTGATTTTGATACAGGGTCTCACTCCATCACCCAAGCTGGAGTGCAGTGGCGTGATCATAGCTCCCTGCAGCCTCCAGCTCCCAAGGTCAAGTGATCCTCCTGCTTCAGCCTCTGGAATAGCTGTGAGTACAGGCGCAGGACAACACACCAGCTAAAGACCCTTAAGATGAAATGCTGAGTGCATCGCTCTCAGGTTTTCTTCTGACTGTGATTTTCCTCAATCAAATCTAACCTTTAATATTCCGGCTGAGTAAACAACAAATATGAAGCATTTTAGGTAAGAAAAAGCTGAATTTCAATAACTTTGCGTCATCTCTGAAAGAAATCGAAAGAATGAAAAACCAGAATTTGATTCCTTGCCAAGCATAACAGAAGAAGGAGATCCTGACAACTCAACGTTTTAAAGCCACATTGGAAACTTCTTTTGGCGGTTATCTGACACTTTTCTAATACTTTGCTTTCCATTTCAAGTCCTGTACAGTATACTAAAGAATCTGTATCCCCTCATTAGTACCGAGTATCTTCTACTCAGAGCAGCTGAAGGCGCTCCATGATACTAACCACTACTACCAGCATGCTCACGGAGCCAGTCTCAGAAAATGAAAGTTACCTCCTGAAAATTATTACAAAACAGTCTTTCAGGAGGGGGGTGTAGCTCAGTGGTAGAGCACATGCTTTGCATGTGTGAGGCCCCGGGTTCGATCCCCGGCACCTCCAAATGGTGGTTTTGCTCTGGCAGTGCTTAAATGTAATTCTCAAGCAACATAGCCTTCTGCCTCCTCACCTTTTTCTATCCTATTTCTGCACGTATAGAGAGTAAAAACGTAACCCAATGGATTGCCTTCACTTATCTCCCATCTCTATAATGTAAGCCTCAACATCACCTAAGGCGATTGCGACGGCAGAAGGAAGAGGAGAAAGAAGAATGAGGTCGCAACAGGGTCTCTTGAAAGCAAACAAAAGCGTGCACATCAACAGGCGGCTCACTTTGGCTTCGGTTTTGTACTATGATTAAAGAGAAGGAAAGGCTGAGAAGAAGAAAGGCAGAAAAGCCCCCCCCCGCCCCCCGGGCATTTCGTTTTGGTCGTTGTTTTTGTTTTCTGAGCCAAATCCAGAGTCAAAGCATCTGTCCACTGATTTCTCTCCCTGTCGAACTGCGCAGAGAGCACAGCCACAAGTGCGATCCAAAGCTGAGAAAATGTGGCTCTCCAGCCGCTTGAGATGAGAGTGGCAGGACGCTGGACAACCGAACGAAGACTGTCGGGGAATTAGAGGTCTTCAACACGGAAGGAGCGAAATCAATAAGGATCAACACATTCCCTACTGATAGTCCATACGATTGATTCATTTTCCTGTATTGCATCAGTCACTCCATTCTCCTCGTTAAAATAAAACACTGAGGTCCGGGCGCGGTGGCTCACGTCTGTAATCCCAGCACTTTGGAAGGCCGAGGCGGGGCGATCACCTGAGGTCGGGAGTTCGAGACCAGCCTGACTAACATGGAGAAACTCCGTCTCTATTAAAAATACAAAATTAGCCGGGCGTGGTGACGCACGCCTGTAATCCCAGCTACTCAAAAGGCTGAGTCAGGAGAATCGTTTGAACCCGGGAGGCGGAGGTTGCAGTTTGCTGAGATCCCACCATTGCACTCCAACCTGGGCAGCAAGAGAGAACCTCCGTCTCAAAATAAAATAAAATATAACATAACATAAAACATTGCCTGGAAACCTCTGTTAACAGCAAACAGAGGCCCCATATGAAAAAGTAGAGAAAGCTTTTCTGCCACAATGGAAAATAGATGCAAAGTAAAGGTGAGTAAATTGCAGGTGTGTTGGCACTTCTAATTAAAAAAAAAAAATTCTTTTTTCTTTGTCAATCCTATCACATCTGCTTTGTATGACGAGGGAACTCCAGGAAATCCTATCTACTGATGACACCTTTTAGGGGTTTCCAATGCTGCATGTTTCAAAACTGCTGTCCTCTGTGTATATGTTTGCCGTTGAATCAAAAGTGTCTTTGAGAGGCAACAGAGTACGATGTTTGTCATCAGTCCACCAGTCTAACACTCTGTCAGGGTAGGCTGTCCTTACTTCTCGATTCTTTTGTTCAGTGAAAATATCCATAACCAGCCTACAGGAGAGATATTGTCTAGTGAAACCTGCTTAGCTGAAGACTGGTTGTGTGCCCCAGGGACAAACCATATGTTCGTTATAAGATACATTTTTTTTTTTTGTTTGAAGGAAGGTAATGCAGACATTTTCTTTTCGTTTCATACTTGTTTTCCCTTCTATCCACTGGTTCTCTCCAGGCACTTTAAGCAAATAGTGGCATGTTAGTCACAGTGGACACTGCACAGGAGAATAAGGGGTGAGGGATCAGGGTGCTACAAGAGGAATGCCAAATTCCAGGCCCAACCTCAGATCTATTGAGTCAGAATTGCTGAGGGTGGCGTCCAGCCGCCTGTGTTTGAATAAGCCCTCAAGTGACTCTGATGTTAAAGTTGTTTTGTTTTGTTTTTTGAGACGGAGTCTCGCCCTCTCGCCCAGGCTGGAATGCAGTGGTGCAACCTCGGCTCACTGCAATCTCTGCCTCCCGGGTTCAAGCGATTCTTCTGCCCCAACCTCCCAAGTAGCTGGGATTACAGGCGCGCGCCGCTATGCCCAGCTAATTTTTGTATTTTTAGTCGAGACGGGGTTTCACTATGTTGGTCAGGCTTGTCTCGAACTCTTGACCCCGTGATCCGCCCGCCTCGGCCTCCCAAAGTGCTGGGATTACTGGAGTGAGCCACCCGCCCAGCCGCTGATGCTAAAGTTTGAGAAGCACTGTTCTAGAGGTTTAAGAAGGTGGTCCAGGGCCAGGCGCCTGCTGAGGAGGAAGAGCTGTTCCCGGGGTTCCCTGCCTATTCTCAATCAAAAACTCAAACCACCTAGGAAAGCCAGTGAGGTTTGTATTTGCCTTACATCAGGGGTGGGGATGCATTTATTATCTCTTTGACACCGTCAACATTTTAGATGATTTTGGTAGTCACACACAAGAGACTGATTTTCCTGTAGAAGAACTCACCAGAGTTCTTGTCAGCCAGGAGACTCTTTTGAGCCAATTTTCTTTATTTCTTTCCTTTCTTATCATTCTACCCTCCCTTCTCTTTCTTTCTCTTTTTCCTTTCTTTCTTTTCTTTCTTTCTTTCTTTCTTTCTTTCTTTCTTTCTTTCTTTCTTTCTTTCTTTTTCTTTCTTTCTTTCTCTCTTTCTCCTTTTCTTTCCTTTTCTCTCATTTCTTTCTTTTCTTTTCTTTTCTTTTTTTTTTGAGACAGGGTCTCACTCTATCACCCAGGCTGGAGCGCAGTGGCGTGATCTTGGCTCACTGCAGCCTCTGCCTCCTGGGTTCAGGTGATTCTCCTGACTCAGCCTCCCAAGTAGCTGGGATTTCAGGTGCGCGTCACCATGCCCAGCTAATTTTTAGTAGAGGTGGGGTTTCACCATGTTGACCAGGCTGGTCTTGAATTCCTGACCTCAGGTGATCTGCCCTCCTTGGCCTCCCAAAGTGCTGGGATTACAGGCATGAGCCACTGCACCTGGCCACCAATTCTGTCATTTCTTTGTCACATAAAAAGTAAAAACATGACCCAATTCATTGCCTTTACTGCTCTCTTATTTCTATTTCTATTTGGTCAGCCTCTGTACCAGCCAAAGCAACTGACATAGCAGGAGAGGAAAGGAGGAAAAAAGAACCAGCTTTTACAAGATCTCTGGATCATGTTTCACTGTCAACTGTAAAATTATTTGTCTAGCCCTAGATTGGAAATATTATCTTCCATATATTTTCCTCAAAGTTTTATAGTTTTACATTTTATATTCATATCTGCGATCCATTTTAAGTTCACTTTTGTGAAGGCATGAGACTTATTTTTCTTCCATGGAATTACTACTTAGGCAACTTTGTCAAAAACCAGTTGAGAATATTTGTGTAGGTTTATTTTTCCATTCTCTCTATTAACCACGTGCCTATCTCCTTGCCAATACTATACAGTCTTAATTACTGTAGTAATAATACAATAATACAAGAATACAACAATGTAATGAAATAGTCTTGAAATCAGGTAGACTGTTTTTCCCTCCTAGATTTTAAATAATTATTCTAATTCCTTTGACTTTGTGGGAGAAACCTGGTGGGAGGTAGTTGGATCATGGGGGTGGCTTCCCCCATGCTGTTCTGGTGATAGTGAGTGAGTTCTCATGAGATCTGATGGTTTCATAAGTGTTTGGCAAGTTCCTCTTTTGCTCATACTTCTTTCTTCTGCTGTCATGTAAAGAAGGTCCTTGCTTCCCATTTCCCTTCCGCCATGATTGTAAGTTTCCCGAAGCCTCCTCAGCTATGTGACTCAATTAAACCTATTTCCTTTATCAATTACCCAGACACAGTGGCTCACGCCGGGAATCCCAGCACTTTGGGAGGCAGAGGCGGGCGGATCATGAGTTCAGGAGTTCCAGACCAGCCTGACCAATACGGTGAAACCCTGTCTCTACTAAAAATACAAAAATTAGCCGGGCATGGTGGCCTGCGCCTGTAGTCCCAGCCACTCGGGAGACTGAGGCAGAAGAATTGCTTGAACCCAGGAGGCGGAGGTTGAAATGAGCCGAGAGGAGGCCACTGCCCTCCAGCCTGGGCGACAGAGCAAGACTCCATCTTAAAAAAAAAAAAAAATTACCCAGTCTCAGGTAGTGTCTTCATAGCAGTGTGAAAACGGACTAATACACATTCTGTCTTTTACCGTGATGTACAGTGTTAGCTGTTCTCTATTCCTATTTTTCTGAGACTTTTTGTCATGAGTAGCTATTGAAGTTTGACAAATTCTTTTTCTACTGTGATATGATCACGTGATTTTATTTTTTAGCCTGTTAATATGGTGGATTGCAGTGATTGTTTCTAAATTTACCTAGTCTTACGTCTCTGGAATAAACCCCACTTGATCATGGTGTATAATGCTTCTTATATATTCCTGAATTCTATTTGATAATATTTTGGTAAGTATTTATGCACCAATACTCATTATTTTGTACTGTATTTACCTGGTTTTAGCATCAGGATACTATTAACTTCATAAATAAATGGAAAGTTTTTTGTCCTCTTCTGTTTTTTTCAGAATAGATTGTGTAGACCTTGTTTTAATTCTTTAACCATTTTTTTTTTTTTTTGAGACGGAGTCGCGCTCTGTCGCCCAGGTTGGAGTGTCACTGCAAGCTCCGCCTCCCGGGTTCACGCCATTCTCCAGCGAGTAGTTGGGACTACAGGCTCCCTGCCACCACGCCCAGCTAATTTTTTGTTTTTTCAGTAGAGACGGGGTTTCACCGTGTTAGCCAGGATGGTCTCGGTCTTCTGACCTCATGATTCGCCCACCTCGGCCTCCCAAAGTGCTGGGATTACAGGCATGAGCCACCGCCCCTGGCCTCCTTAAGAACTTCTTAGAATTCTTCAGTGAAATTTTCTTGGATTCGAAGATTCCTGATTTTTTTTTTTTAAACGAAGTCTTGCTCTTGGCCTCCAGGCTGGAGTGCAATGGTGCGATCTTGGCTCACTGCAACCTCTGCCTCCCAGGTTCAAACGATTCTCCTGCCTCAGCCTCCCAAGTAGCTGGGATTACAGGTGCCTGCCACCACATCCGGCTAATTTTTGTATCTTTAGTAGAGACGGGGTTTCAGCATGTTAGCCAGGCTGGTCTCGAACTTCTGACCTCAGGTGATCAGCCCGCCTTGGCCTCCCAAAGTGCTGGGATTACAGCCATGAGCCACCACGCCCGGCCAGATTCTTGATTTTTTTTTTAAATTATGTTACAAATTTAATTCCCTTAATAGTTACAGGGTTATAAAAAATGTATTACATATTGAGTTAGTTGTGTTAATTTGTGTTTTTCAAGGAATTAGTCTATCTCATCTAAATTGTCAAGTTTGTGTGTAAAGAGTTATTCATAGTAAGGCAGAAATTTAAAAATAAATATGCATTCATTCACTCCAAGAAAAGTAACAGGAAAGGGTTAAAAAGAAAAGAAACAAGTTTTCGTTTGCCTAGCAGCTCACTTCAAGGACAGTTACAAGATAACACTTTCCGAAAAGCCAAGGCCAAAGGAACGGCTTCCAGACACGCCCTTCTCCCACCCCACCCAAGAACAAGGTTGAAGGGAAAAAAAGGAAAGGCAAATTCCTATACTGTTACTCCTTTCCCTGGCTTCTTAAGCATAACTGTTTTTACAAATGTCTGTATTTAGTCAGTTCTTGTTTTTCTTTTGACGCAGCTGCAAGGCCACAAATTAAGCACTGTATGATTAACTGCCTTTGTTTTGCTTATAAAAACTCCTGCTCTGTCTTTGTTCAACGCTCAGCATTTTTTGTTTGTTTGTTTTGTTTTGAGACAGAGTCTTGCTCTGTCGGCCAGGCTGGAGTGCAGTGGCACGATATTGGCTCAATGTCACCTCCGCCTCCTGGGCTCAAGCAATTCTGCCTCAGCCTCCCGAGTAGCTGGGATTACAAGCATGTGCAACCACGCCTGGCTAATTTTTGTATTTTTAGTAGAGACGGGGTTTCACCACGTTGGCCAGGCTGGTCTCGAACTCCTGACCTCAGGTAATCTGCCAGCCTTGGCCTCTCAAAGTGCTGGGATTATGGGCGTGAGCCACCAGGCCCGGCCAGTGCTCAACTTTTTGGATGTGAATCCACTCAGTGGCTGCTTACCTTAAAATAAATATCCTCCTGTTCTCCTGTATCAGTCTTTCCGTTCCTCAGTTTACCACCACAATAGTATTCCCTTATCCTAATATTATTTTTATATATTAGGATATATCATACTACATATGTTATATAAAATATTATATTGATAATATGTTATGTTAATATTATATAATAAATAACATAATTATAAAATATATTTATTTATATGATTATTTAACAAGTTATATATTATTATTTACTTATATTATTAGGATATAATATATCCTTATATATTATTAGTATATACTATGTATATTATATATATATATATTCTGAATAATCTTGAGGATGCTTTTCCTCCTTCATTTTTTAACTCTAGCCTGCCTCTTCCCTTTCCCCACCTGCTGGTTCTCGGCTCCTCTCCACCTTCTTTCTCATTTATTTCTAAATGAAGTTTTCACAAAAGCGCAGGGCACTCCTAGTCTCGTTTATGCACATTTTAAGCACTATGTTGAGATTCCTATGCAGCTGCTATTTTAATTTCCACATCACTTTCCTTTTTTTTTTTCCTTCTCTACATGCTTGACTTTAAACATTTCTGCAGCATAGGCTGAGGCTGGGCCCAGCTGGGGAGAGATGCGAGGCCAGATAAACCTAGAGTAGAGAAATGTTGTTTCCTGAGTGGGAACGCTCCGACCTTACAAGGGGGAGAAAAAGTCTGCGACGGAGTTTCGCTCTTGTTGCCCAGGCTGGAGTGAAATGGTGCTATCTCGGCCCATTGCACCCTCCACCTCCCGGTTCAAGCGATTCTCCTACCTGTCTCCCGAGTAGCTGGGATTACAGGCACCCGCCACCATGCATGGCTAGTTATTTTTTAAATGCTGGGATTACAGGTGTGAGCCACCGAGCCCGGCTAAATTTTTTAAAGGAAATCATCCAAAAACATATCCTTTTGATGTCAGCAGAGTCTACAGTGATATCCTCTTTTTATTCCTGATATTGGTAATTTGTGTCATCTCTCTTCCTAAAATTTCTGTCTTACTAGAGGTCTTCTTTTATTGATCTAAAGGAACTAGCTTTTTGTTTGTTTTTCTTTTTTTGTTTGTGTTCCGTTTCACTGAATTTTGTTCTTATTTTTATTGTTATCTTTTGTCTATTTGCTTTGGGTTTATTTTGCTTTTTTCCCCACCTGGGTTCTTCAAATAAAAGTTTAGATGACTGACTTGAGACTTTTTTCTTTTTCTAATGTATGCAGTTAGTGGTATACATTTCTCTCTCAGTGTTTTTTTAGGTTGTCTTGAAAATTTTGGTATATTGTGCTTTCATTTTTATTCAGGTTAATTTATTTTTTGATATCTACTAAGTCTTTCTCTTTGTCCTGTGTACTATTTAGTAGTGTGTTGTTCATTTTCCAAGTGTTTGGATGTTCTTCTGTTGTCTTTCTGTGATTGACTTTTAGTTTGATTTCATTGTGGTCAGGGATCATACTGTGTGAGTTAATTCTTTTAAATTTGAGGTTTGTTTTATGGCCCAGAATATGTTCCATCTTGACCTGTGTTCTGTGTGTTCTGCTTTTCTTGTGTGGAGTCTTCTTTAAATGTTGACTGAATTCTGTTAGCTGAAGATGATTTTGAGTTCTTCAACATCCTTGCTGATTTTCTGTTTAGTTGTTCTATCGATTATTATGAGAGAAGTGTTGAAGTCTCTAATGTAATTGTGGATTTGTCTATTTTTTAAAAATTCTTTTTTTCTTTACATATTTTCAACTCTGTTTGGTTTATACATATTTAGGATTGTTATGCCTTCTTGGTGGATTTTTAAAATTTTTCTTTGTTCTAAAGCTTATATTAGGCCAGACGTGGTAGCTCACGCCTGTAATCCCAGCACCGTGGGATGCTGAGGTGGGTAGATCACCTGAGGTCAGGAGTTTGAGACCAGCCTGACCAACATAGTGAAACCCCATCTCTACTAAAAATACAAAAATTAGCCAGTCATGGTGGTACGTGCCTGTAATTCCAGCTGCTTGGGAGGCTGAGGCAAGAGAATCACTGGAACCCTGGAGGCAGAGGTTGCAGTGAGCAGAGATCGCGCCATTGCACTCCAGTCTGAGTGACAAGAGTGAAACTCCATCTCAAAGAAAAAAGATAAATAAATAAAGTTCATATTATATTAATATACTCACTTTTGCTTTCTTTTAATTAACATTTGAATGTTATATATTTTTATATGCTTAATTTCAACCTGTATGTATAATTATATTTGAAATAAGTTTCTTGTAGACAGCATGTAGTTGGATTATATTTTCTAATCTACTCTGTTAATCTCTGTCTTTTAATTGGTACCTTTCGACCATTTACATTTAATGTAATTATTGATATGTTAGGGCTGAAATCTAGCAGTTTGTTTTCTATTTGTACCCTGTTACTGCCATTTTCTGGGGATATGTATGTATGTATGTATTTATTTATTAAAGCCTTCTTTGTGGACTACTAGTATACTTTTTTAGAATTTCATTGTCATTTATCTGTAGCGTTTTTGTGTGTGTGTGGTTTTGTTTTTTTGATTTTTTTTTTCTCCTGCCTCAGCCTCCCAAGTAGCTGGGATTACAGGCATGCGCCACCATGCCCAGCTAATTTTTGTAGTTTTAGTAGAGACAGGGTTTCACCATGTTGGCCAGGCTGGTCTCGAATTCCTGACCACAGGTGATCCCCCTCAGCCTCCCAAAGTGCTGGCATTACAGGTGTGAGCCACTGTGCCCAGCCTATCTGTAGTGTTTTTAAATGATCTCTTTATATAACTCTTTTAGTGATTTGTCTGAGTATTACATATTTATTTAATTTATCACTGTGTACTGGTATCATTATTTTATCAGTTAAAGTGATGTGTGTCATCTTTACCTTTTTGTCACTTTGCCTCTCCTACTTGTAATATAATTGTCTTAAATTATTTCTTCTACATACATTTCGAACCACATCGAACCATGTTATACTTTTTTCTTTCTTTCTTTTTTTTTTTTTTTTTTTTGAGACATTGTCTCACTCTGTTGCCCAGGCCTGAGTGTAGTGGCGTGATCTTGGCTCGCTGCAACCTCCGTTTCCCTGGTTCAAGTGATTCTCCCTCCTCAGCCTCTCGAGTAGCTGGGACTACAGGTGTGTGCCACCATGCCCAGCTAATTTTTTGTATTTTTAGTAGAGACGGGGTTTCACCATGTTAGTCAGGCTGGTCTTGATCTCCTCATCTCATGATCTGCCCACCTTGGCCTCCCAAAGTGGTAGGATTACATGCCTGAGCCACCGTGCCCGGTCATGTTACACTTTTTGCTTCAACTGTTAAACATAATTTAGAAAGCTCAAGAGGAAAAGGAAAATGTATTGTTTTTACCTTTTTTTTTTTTGCTTACCATGTTCTTTCTTCTTTCCTGGTGTCAATTATTTCTTCTTTTATCATTTCTTTCCATCTGGAGAAATTTAACTATTTTTTAAAGGATAATTCTGCTAGAAGCTAATTATCTTAGTTTTCTTTGCTCTGAAAATGTCTTGATTTCTTCTTCAGTTCTAAAGGATATTTTCTGTGGATATAGAATTCAGAATTAACAATTCTTTTCTTTCGGTCCTTGAAAACTGTTGTGCCACTCTTTCTGACTTCTGTGATTTCTGATAAGATACCCACTGTTATGCAAATTGGTTTTCTCTGTAGGTAAGGTGTTTTGTCTCTTTTCTTGCTTTCAATATCTCTTTCTCTGTTTTTAGAGTTTAGAAATTTTGATTGATTTTGTTTTCAGTTAACCGTTGAAGGAGATTCTCTAAAAAATATGTAAAAATGCAAATCTCCAGGTCAACAGTCTCTAAAATAGTTTAGATTTCTGTATTCTGGTGTTTGGAAAACAACTTCACTAAGGCAATCCCTTAGGGCTGGTAATTTCATGATGTAAATCATTCCACATTTGTAAAGCATAAAGTAGCAAAGTTTTAGTCACTGTACAAACAAGTATCTGAACTTCTTCCTGTGCTTAATTGGTATAAACTATCTTGGGCGGCAGTTCCCCACCTTTTTGGCACCAGAGACCGTTTCATGAAAGACAGTTTTTTCCATGGATGAGGGAGCAGGGGTTGGGGGGGATGATTTTGGGATGATTCAAGCACATTAGATTTATTGTGCACTTTTTTAATATTGTTATTATATTGTAATATATAATGAAATAAGTATCCAACTCACCATAATGTAGAATCACTGGAAGCCTTGAGTTTGTTTTCCTGCAACTAGACAGTCCCATCTGGCACTGATGGAAAACAGTGACGGATTATCAAGCATTAGATTCTCATAAGGAGCCCACAATCTAGATCCCTTTCATACGCAGTTCACAATAGGGTTTGGACTTCTGTGAGAATCTGACGCCCCCGCTTATCTGGGAGGAAGAGTAGCTCAGGCGGTCGCAGGAGCGTTGGGGAGTTGCTGTATAAGGACAGATGAAACTTCTCTGGCTCGCCTGCCGCGCTGCCTGATACGCGGTTACGTTTACTGGAGGTTGGGGACTCCGGAGCTAGAGTAAAACACACAAATATTTCGCCTGAACAGGGACTTGAACCCTGCACCGTCAGATTAAAAGTCTGATGTTCTACCAACTGAGCTATCCAGGCCCTGGGTAGACGCAACCCACGGAGTATGTAATCTAGATTTCTCCATTTGTTCAGTTCATTTTGTTTCATGTTGCAATTTGTAAATCATATTACTTGAATTATCCTCTTTTCGAAGACCCTGCTTAAGAGAGACATTATAATCCCTAGGAATATTTTCCTTTTCTCTTTTTAAACATTTCCTTTCTGTAGATTTTCGTAACCTGAGATGGAGCGTCTTCTACACAAAGCACTGCGGAGTTGCTAGATACAGAGGGTTTCATTCTCGCCAATTACCTGCAACCTAAACTTCTCGAGGCAACTGTGGAGCTACTTTTGTTCGTATCCCTCAGTATTGTCTTGCATCTCTTTCTTGAAGCCTTTGTAGGCAGAGGGTAAGAGAGACGAAGGAGGAAGAATTTGAAGATGCAAGAGAACATTCCATAATGGACCCCTTTCTGTTGGTGGATGAAACTGCCAGCCAGGCATCACTTTGGCAAGTGGACCTCAGACCGGCGGTCTGGCTGGCCAGAGAGGAAAACCGCGTGTAACAGTGTCTTTTGGTTTAGTATTTAGTGCCGCTTTTGCTGGTCACAGTCTAAAGGTTTTAGAAATAGTGATGTTAAACACAGCAAGCATTTTTCTGCCAGATATTCGTTCTCCAAACACAGACAGACAAAGGCAGTAATTAATAATGGATCTTTTCTTTGTTTTTTTCTTGTTTTATTTTTGAAGATATTTTTTCTTCGTCTATGGATCTTTTTTTTAATTTTTAATTTTTACTGCTGCATAGTATATATATGTATATATATGATACATGGGATATTTTGATGCAGGCATACAATGTGTAATAATCATATTGGGATAAACGAAGCATCCATCACCTCATCCATCGCCTCAACACCTTATCATTTCTTTGTTACAGACATTCCAGTTATAATCTTTAAGTTATTTTTAAATGTACAATACATTTTTGTTGACTATAATCACCCTGTTGTGCTATCAAATGATAGATCTTATTCATGCTAACTATATTTTTGTATCCATTAACCATCTCACTGCCCCCTCCAATACCCTTCCCAGCATCTGGTAACCATCATTCTACTCTCTGTCTCCATGAGTTCAATTGTTTTATTTTTGGCTTCCACAAATGAGAGAGAATATGTGAAGTTTTACTTTCTGTGTATAGCTTAACTTAATGTCCTCTAGTTTGTGGAGGAAAAGTTACGTATTAAATTTGAACTCAATTGAACGTGGACACAAACAATGGTCACCAAATCCTGAACAGGTTGTATGAACCCCTTGAGGTGTTCATCCAGTGCTGTTTTGGAGAAATCTCTATTTCAATCTATTCCTATACGTTAGTTATTGAAAAACAACAGACAATCGCAAAAACAAGTTGACCTTTTCTTGTTCCTTGAGCTCAGTCGCGAAGGGCTCTCGTGAGCTTCATGAGACCTCTCCTTCTCTGTGCATGGACGAGTGGCCGACTCTGGAGCCGGGGCTGTTGCTTCCCGGTGTGGTGATGAATCCTTCATAGTCTTGTGAGTGTACATATATATAAATATATATATTTATATATATATATATATATTTGGTGAGTGTGTGTATATATATATATATATATATCTTTTCCCTTCTCCCCTTCCCATTGCAATTTGCTTATTGTATCATTTGTTTATTATATCTGCATTGCCGTTTACGTGGGATAAAGGTTATTTACCCTTAAAGGTATTGTGTGTGTGTCTTTTCTTCTCCCCTCTCGCATTTCCCGCACAGAACATAGTTCCATCCGCTTTGCAAATGACAAGACCTCATTCTTTTCATGGCCGAATAGTACCCCGTTGTGTATACGTACCACATTTACTTTATTCATTTATCTGTTGATGGGTACTTAGGATGCTTCCCAATCTTGGCTATTGTGAATAGTGCTGCAATAAAGATGACAGTGTAGATATCTTTTCGATATACTAATTTCCTTTCTTTTGGGTATAGGCCTAATAGGGGGATTGCTGGAATATATGGTAATATTTTTAGTTTTCTGAGGAACCTCCATACTATTCTCCAAAGCGGTTGTACTAATTTAAATTCCCACCAAGAGTGTACTAGGGTTCTCCTTTCTCCACGTCCTTGCCTGTCTTTTGGATGAAAGTCATTTTAACTTGGGTGAGATAACATTTCATTTTAGTTTTGATTTGCATTTATTTGATGATCAATGGTGTTGAGCACCTTTTCATATATTTGCCATTTGTATGTCTTCTTTTAAAAGACATATAGACAAAAGAATGGTAAATAGATATGTGAGTAGAAAATCTTTACTTGGCTGAGTTTTCTTTATCCTTTCCTTTCACAGTAGCCCCCATCCCCAACACACACACACATACACACACACACACACACACACACACACACACACACACACACGTCAGGTCAATAACCAGACCATAAGTGCTGCAAATCTTAGTTCTTTCTGTGTGTGTGAGTGAACGTTTGTTGTACACTGGATCACACCTCACAGGAAATGCTGAGTTTTCCAAATTCTAAAGTTAAGAACATTATTAGGGTCATGCATTATGGGTTTTTGTAAAATGGCTAAAGTAGCTACATTGGGAGATTCTTTGTCTAAAGGTGCAATACATCCCCCAATTTGATTCAGGGCTTGGAAAGTTGTCTGGTTTCATCTAAACAAATAAATAAATTCTATTTTTTTCAAATCTCAATTATAGAAACCTTTATCTACAGACACCCTCCTCCATTCATTTCTTCAGTGAAATTATCTAGACAGATTGTTATAGAGAGATTAAGAATGTCATACTTTCAAATCTCTCTTGGATTCCTCCCAAAATACTTTTGTTAGAAATATTTAAACATTTTAAAGGAATCTTGCCTGGAACCCATCAGATAAAAATCAAAAGGCATCAGAGAAAACACTGAAAGGCTTTGGAAAGGAAATGGTATCACTGGTATAAACAAACATTTCATACAATTTAATAGTTTCTTAGCATTATTCTTTCAAATCTCAGTGCCAATCCTTTTTAGCATCTTCCTGAAGAAAGAAATTTCAGGCTACTTTGGACACACTTTCTATAGGGTACCCCTGCTCTGCAAACAGCAGGAATAAATAAATAAATAAATAAATATAACAATAAATAAATAGATTTCGATGGTTTGGCTCAGTCTACCAACCTTACTAACTGTGCCAACTTTACTATCTGCTGCCTACGTCTGCCAGTTAACTTTTCCTCCTCCAGACTGAACAAAAAATGCCCTTTTATTTAAATTTGTTAGATTTTGAGATTTTGGATTGCTATTCTTTGGGCACAAAATCCACTAGTGAGAAGGTGAGGAAGCAAAACTGAGAACAATTTCAAAACATGTGAATAAGTTTGAGTCTGTTGAAACATAAGTCATGGTAGTGCATCTTGCCCAAAATGGAGATGGATTCTTCAGCACTGACTAGAGCAAGTAGCCTCCCCAAACTGGATCACACCAGAAACCCTTATTCAATCTAATGCTCCTCATAGGACGCTTTCTGAGAAAGAAAGGGACTTAACTAAATCAGTTTCATAGGGAACAGCAGAAGACCTTTCTTTTGTCTACCCAGACTCATCTAGTCCGGCCCCAGAACTAGCGTTCCGTGGTCTCAAACATGGGTCATTACTTAATAAATTAGTGTACATAGGATACACCATCCAAAATATGGCCTAAAACAATTCTTGAGTTTTGACTGGAGAAACCTGGAGAAAATGGTGTACAAGGGATCCAGGAAAAGTTTAGGGCTGAGAGATGCATCTCTCTGGGGAAAGGAGATAGGACTGGGCACTGGAAAAATGAAATAGTTTCTTCCCAGTAACTCGTCATTTCCATGAAGCCAAGACGATGCGAAAACTGAGGGAATCTGTGATTGGTTTACTTTACAAACTTGGTTGTTGTTTTTTTTTTTAATCTTTCCTACCCTATCAACATAGGGGACATAGCTGGGGAAAGGGTAACAAAAAATCGCCCCAGACTGTTTTCTGGATCAATCCAAAGGTGAGCTTAGAGCAATCAACCTTTAGGCAAAATACTTGGGGCTTTTCTGACAAGGGGGAGCTTTTTTTTTTTTTTTAATTTCAACTTTTATTTTAGATTCAGGGAGTACAGTGCAGGTTTGGGACAAGGGTGTATTGCGTGTTGCTGATGTCTGGAGTACGATTGAACCCGTCACCCATGTGGTGAGCATAATACCCAACAGGCAGTTTTTCTATCCTTTTCCCCCTTCCAACCTCCCACCTCTTACGGTCTCCAGTGTCTTCTGTTCCAGGGGAGCTCTTGTTTGAGCTTACAGGCTTTTCTTCCTGGAGGAAGCACCATCGTATCTTTGAGACGGAAAAGGTTAAAATAGATCAAACAATGATGCTCCCTCTTACGCTGTCATGTCCACTCCTTCATTGCAGACTTGAGTTCTTGGCTCATATTTCTGTACCCGAACGTGCATTATCATTATTAGTAACTTAGAGAAGAGAGCCTTCAAAGAAGGCAAAGATGTCACTTCTGATCATCTCGCAGTTTATAATTCTAAGGAATTGCTATTAGGAATTTTAGATGGAGTTTTATTCCTTCTGCCCACCTCCTCCCCCGCCTCTCCCCGCCCCCCTTCAAGTTGTTAAATCTCTAATTACGAAGTTAAAGGTTTGAAAACAGAAACTCAACGTTTCCTCACTACACTTCAGTCTTGATGTGTGCAAATTAGCACCCGCGTGCGGCCGCGTGGCCTAATGGATAAGGCGTCTGATTCCGGATCAGAAGATTGAGGGTTCGAGTCCCTTCGTGGTCGTGTTCTTACTATTGTCAGGAAATATCTTTACTTTCTGCACATCTCCTTGAGCTTTCTGCAAGCCAGTTAAAAAAAAAAAAACCGGCTTGTTCCCAAGACTTTGGGAACTTGAAATGAAAGAAGACTATTGACAAAAAAAACAAGAACCCGGTAAGCAACCTGTGTATTGACTATTAAAGTGCACTTTGTCCCTGGCATAGGTACTACCGGAGGCATTCGTAATTTGGAATGGGCTTGGTTTTTCAATTTATGGTCTTGTCCTACTTGTTTCATGAATTTAACAAACACAACACAAAATCACCCTTTTCTTTTTTTTTTTTTTTTTTTTTTTTTTTTTTTTTTTTTGAGACGGAGTCTCGCTCTGTCACCCAGGCAGGAGTGCAGTGGCACGATCTCGGCTCACTGAAAACTCCGCCTCTCCGGGTAAAGCGATTCTCCTGCCTCAGCCTCCCGAGTAGCTGGGATTACAGGCGCCCGCCATCACGCCCGGCTAATTTTTGTGTTTTTTTAGTAGAGACGAGGTTTCATCATGTTGGCCAGGTTGGTCTCAAACTCCTGACCTCAGGTGATCCGCCCGCCTCGGCCTCCCAAAGTGCTGGGATTACAGGCGTGAACCACCGTGCCCGGCATTTTATTTATTTATTTATTTATTTTTGAGTCTCACTTTGTCGCCCTGGCTGGAGTGCAGTGGCACAATCTCTGCTCATTGCAATCTCCACCTCCAGGGTTCAAGCTATTCTCCTGCCTCAGCCTCCCGAGTAGCTAGGATTACAGGTGCCCGCCACCATGCCTGGCTGATTTTTGTATTGTTGGTAGAGAAGGGGTTTCACCATATTGGCCAGGCTGGTCTCGAACTCCTGACCTCAGGTGATCTGCCCGCCTTGACGTCCCAAAGTGCTGGGATTACAGGCGTGAGTCATCGCGCGCGGCAGAAAAGTACCATCTTAATAGTAAGGACTATCATAATAGTAGGGGTATTGGGTGCAGGGTATATGGGAACTCTAATATCTTCTAAATTTTTCTGTAAAGCTAAGACTGTTCGACAATTATACTCTATAAAATAAAAATGATTTGTTTTTTTAAAGATAGACAGCCATGTGTTTAAAAAAACTTAGAGCAAAGATCTTGCCCTAGAAAGCAAATGCAACTCTAACGGGGTTCTTGTACTGGTTAACATCCGCATTAAAGATGATGGTGACTTACAGGGCCTATGCCATTCTCTCTGATTTCTACGATTTCCTTATTACTCTCAACACAAGCTTAAATAAAACAGTAAACAGAAAAGTAAAATCTTTCCAGACCTTGGTTAACAAAAGCAGAAACAAGGAGGAGAACGAGGAGGAGAAGGTGAAGGAGAAAGAAAAGAACAAAAAGAGGAAGAAGAGGAAGAAGTCACAATCAAGGAGAGTATATCACCAAGAAAAGAAAGTTTCTATCAAAAACTTTCTTTGGGCTCTCAAAACTCGAGAGTCAAACATTGTTAATAAATTTCCACAAAAATCTGAAGGTCACAAATCCAAATCCTAATAGGAAAAGCTTTCATCAAAATGTACTGATAAAGGCTCAATTACAACAACCTGGAACTCATGTGGTTGGGACACTCGCTCGAGCTCATAGTTTTGAAGGATGGCCAGAATTTAGAAACAAAGTGGTCAAAGAATGCACTATTATCACACTAAGAGTTTGGCAACCCTATCAGCAAAATGAGCCAGGGCCCTCTAAGAAACTCACAGGACCCACATATTGCTGAGGAAAAGAGGTATTTACTCACAACTGAAAAAACAAAACTGAATGTATGTCTTGCTTGAGCAGGGGTGAACTACAAGCAGATTGCAGTCTCTTAGTAAACAAACAAAACAAGAAACAAAACAAAAGGCAGGATATGCAGAGGAGTTTAATTAATTGTCAAGTGAAATTAAATTCACATAAATCAGCCTTTTGGGTGGTTCAAAGTAGAGACGGCTGTGAATTGTTCCTAGATTGACATACAAACAAATACTTATTTATTTATTTATTTATTTAATTTTTTGAGACGGAGTGTCGCTCTATCGCTCAGGCTGGAGTGCGGTGGTGTGAACTGCGATCTCGGCTCACTGCAAACTCCGCCTCCCGGATTCAAGCGATTCTCCTGCCTCAGCCTCCTGAGTAGCTGGGACTACAGGCGCATGCCACCAAGCCCGGCTAATTTTTTTGTAATTTTAGTAGAGACGGGGTTTCACCATGTTAGCTAGGATGTTCTTGATCTCCTGCGTGATCCGCCCGCCTCGGCTTCCCAAAGTGCTGGGATTACAGGCGTGAGCCACCGCGCCTGGCCTTACAAATCTCTTTTACTTAGGAACTACTGAGTTAAGATAAATGTGGGTGCTAAATTCCAATTTGGCCCGGGCATGGTGGCTCATGCCTGTAATCCCAGCATTTTGGGAGGCCGAGATGGGCGGATCATCTCAGGTCAGGAGGTCAAGACCAGCCTGGCCAACATGGCGAAATCCATCTCTACTAAAAACACAAGAATTAGCTGGGTTTGGTGGCGTGCGCCTGTAATCCCAGCTGCTAGGGAGGCTGAGACACGAGAATCACTTGAACCCGGGAGGTGGAGGTTGCAGTGAACTGAGATCACGCCACTGGCACCCCAGCCTGGGTGGCAGAGTGAGACACCATCTCAAAAAATAATAATAATAAAAATGAAATAAATAAATTCTGATTTGTTGTGTGAATTCATGGTTAATTATGCAAAAGTGGAATATTCTATTCTTAATTGACTCAAATTAAAATTTCATTTAAATGTCAAGTTTTAAGATACCAAGATTGAGTGCTGATAGTATTGTTATTACTTGAGCACAAACTCCTGGACTCAGTTCTCTTGTCTTGGTCTCCGAAAATGCTAGGATTACAGGCGTGAGCCACTCTGGCTGTCCCCTCAGTAATTTTTTTTAAGTAAAGTTTATTTTATTTATTTTTTGAGTTGAGGTCTCGCCCTGTCACCCAGGCTGGAGTGCAGTGGCACTGCAAGCATGGCTCACTGCTACCTCAAACTCCTAGGCCCAGGCAATCCTCCTGCCTTGGCCTCTGGTGTAGCTGGGACCACAGGTGTGCACCACCATACCTGGCTAATTTTTCTATTTTTTTGTAGAGACAGGCTCTCACTATGTTAGCCAGGCTGGTCTCCAACTCCTGAACTCAATTGATCCTCCTGCTTTGGTCTCCCAAAGTGCTGGGATTTGAGGTGTAAGCCACTGCTCCTGACCAATAATTTTTTATATTAATAAATTTATGGCCGGGTGCTGTGGCTCACGCCTGTAATCCCAGCACTTTGGGAGACCGAGGCGGGCGGATCACCTGGGGTCAGGAGTTCGAGACCAGCCCGAATAATATGGTGAAACCCTGTCTCTACTAAAAATACAAAAATTAAACGGGTGTGGTGGCGGGCGCCTGTACTCCCAGCTACTCGGGAGGCTGAGGCAGGACAATCGCTTGATCCCGGTAGGCGGAAGTTGCAGAGAGCCGCGATCGCGCCACTGCAGTCCAGCCTGGGCGACAGAGCGAGAGTCCGTCTCAAAAAATAAATAAATATAATAATAATAATAAAATTTATGTCTACCAAAATAATTTATCTACATTATGAGCAAAATATGTCCATGTTTTGACTTGACACTTTTTGCACTCTCAACACTGCAATCCTCCTCATATCTTAAGTCAGCGTTTTGTTCATCCACTTGACAGTAGGGCAGAAAAGAGCCTTGAATGAATACCTCTCTGCAAATCCGACTTTCCCCGTTCAAATCTTGTCTCTTCCGCTGAGACTAGAGAGAATATAAGCAGCAAAACGCACCGCAAATACCCTCCCGGTTGCTCCAGGAGAAAGCTGGGTTCAGTAGCCTGTTGAGTATGAATCAAAAAGAAGTATGGGAAAATGAAAAGTATCTACATCAGAACAGGATCGTGATTCCTAAATTTCCGGACTAGTGGCCTGATGCATTTCCAGCTGAGCTAGCCAGAAGTACGATGGTTTTAGTGGGTATCTACTCTAACCCAAAACGTTCAGTCACTACTTAACCTTTCTTCCTCATTCTTTCTCTTGTATTTTAAACCCAAACACGCGAAAATAAACAAACAAACAAAAAGAAACACAAACTAAACAGTTGCTGCCTGCATCAAAGCTGCAGGCTGCTTCCACATGAGAACTGACACAACGTCACTTTCCTCAAACCTCCAATACCAGGGGCTACTGCTCCACGAATACTCAACCACACGCCCTCGAAAATGCTCAGCCTGTTTCCTGCGATGGAGAGTGCAGTGCAGTGAGGCACTCTCAGAGTCACAAAATCTTGGGCAACACGAGCCGTACCCTTCTGTGGGATATACACTTTGAAACCACTCACCTAGAGCCTTCTCTCTTCCCCAGGGCCTAGAGAAAGCTTGGCAGAGACGCGGCGCTTGGCTGCTTTCTTCCTCCACGCTTGTCTCAATACTATCCGTCTTTAAAGACGCGTCCCCGATTTTTCTTCTGCCTTCTTCTCCGCTGCTTCTTCTCTCCTCCACTCAGTGTTATCCCTCCCGGCTCCAAGAGCCCTTCCTTCCTTTTCAAAGCCTTCCCTTGCGTCCACTCCTCAGCTCATTTCAGTTCCCAGCCACTTGCCTTTCTAGTATAGTAAGAACATAACCTGTACATTAGGGACAAACTTCTCCCTACTCTCCCTTACGCCCCTGCTGGGTTTACAATGTTCTCCAAAATTCGTATCTGGATTAAACAGTCGCACCACATTTTGGCTACAGATGGGAAGGGTCTACTTTCTGCACTTCAGGGACTGATGAAATTTTCTCACTTGTGGGGGTGTAGGGAGGGTTTTACAAAGGGTGAATTGGTTTTCTCAGGTTGAGACCAGCTTCCTTTGTGCTTTCCTCCTTGCTCAAAAAAATTTGCTCTGAAAGAGTCCTCTGTCTTCGGCTTCGTTTGTGTTGTCTTTAAAACCAGAGCTAGTCAGGCTTGGCGGCAAACACCAGTAATCCGAGCACTTTTGGAGGCGGAGGCGGGAGTATTGCTTAAGCCCAGGAATTCAAGACCAGCCTGGGCAACACAGGGAGAAGACCGACCCGCCCCCTTCCCCCATCCCGTCTCTATAAAAAATCAAAAACAAAAAAACCTATAGCTGTAGAGTCGCCGATGAAGCCGCTGCCACATTTCCAAATCCAGATGTTGGACGCAACCTTGTGCAAAACTGCTACCTTTGTCACTCTTTGTTTTTGTCAATGTTGTGAATTAACCTCTTGTCTTTGCTTGTTTGGTTGTTTTTCAGGAGTTATTAACAACTTTATTGAAGTACAGTTGATATATGCAAAACCCCTACACGTTGAAGGTAAGCATATGAGTGAGGACATATGCATACATTTATAATGCTATTTCCACAATCGGTAATAAACACACTTATCAACTCCAAAAGTTTCTTTGTGTTCTTTCATGTTCATGGGTGGTAAGAAGACTTAAACATCAGAGTTATCTTTTTTTTTTTTTTTTTTATTTTGAGACTGAGTCTCGCCTGTCGCCCAGGCTAGAGTGCAGTGGTGCGATCTCGGCTCACTGCAACCTCCGACTTCCGGGTTCACGCCATTCTCCTGCCTCAGCCTCTCGAGTAGCTGGGACTACAGGCGCCCGCCACCGCGCCCGGCTAATTTTTTAAAACATTTTTAGTAGAGACGGGGTTTCACCGCGTTAGCCAGGATGGTCTCGATCTCCTGACCTCGTGATCCGCCCGCCTCGGCCTCCCAAAGTGCTGAGATTACAGGCGTGAGCCACCGCTCCCGGCCGAGTTATCTTTTTAACAAAATTTTAAGTGTACATTATGGTATTGTTAACTGAAGGCACTAGGTTGTGCAATAGATCTCTAGAACTTATTCATGTTTCATAACTAAAATTTTAACTCACCGAGCAACAACTCCCCATTTCCCTCTGCCTCTGGTCCCTGACAATCACCATTCTGTTCTCTGCATTTATGAGTTTGACTATTTTAGATACCTCATATAAGTGGAATTATGAAATATTTGTCCTTCTGTGACTGGCTTATTTCACTTAGCATAATGTCCTCCAGGTTAATCATTGATGCTGGTGCAAATGGCAGAATTTCTTTTTTATAAAAGGCTGAATAATATTCCATTGTATGTATATACCACATTTTCTTTGTCCACTCATCTCTCAATGGACACTTGGATTGTTCCCTTATCTTGGTTATTGTAAATAATGCTGCAGTGAACATGGGAGTGCATATGTTTCTTTGAAATTCTAATTTCGATTTTTTGGGGACATATACCCAGAAGTGGGATTGCTGGATCATATGGTAGTTCTATTTTTATCTTTTGAGGCGACCCCTTACTATTTTCCATAGTGGTGTCATCATTTTACACACCAACAGTGTAGAAGGGTTCCAATTTCTCTACATCTTTGCTAACACTTACCTTTTGAGTTTTTTCTTTTTAATAACAGACATCCTAATAGGTGTGAGGTGGTATCTATTGTGATTTTGATTTGCATTTCCTTGATGATTAGTGATGTTAAGAGCACCTCTTCACATACCTAGTGGCTATTTGTATGTCTTCTTTGGAGACATGTCTATTCAAGTCCTATGCTCGTTTTAAAAATCAGGTTATTTGGGATTCTAAGGGGTGTGTGTGTGTGTGTGTGTGTGTGTGGCTATTGACTTGTAGCGGTTTAAAAAATTTATTTTGTATATTAACCCCTTATCAGATAAATGATTTGCAAATATTTTCTCCCATTCCATAGCTTGCCTTTTTCCTTTGTTGATTGTTTTCTTTCCTGTGAAGAAGCTTTTTAGTTTGCTATAGTCTCGCTTATCCATTTTTGCTTTTGTTGCCTGTGCTTTTGGTGTCATACTCAAGAAACCATTGCCTAAACCAATGTCAAGAATATTCCCCCCTGTTTTCTTCAAGGAATTTTACAGTTTAGGGGCTTAAGTTTAAGATTTAAATTCGTTTTTAGTTGACTTTTGTGCATTAACATCTTGTCTTGTCTCCTCACCTGGATCTACGTTTCCTCTGCAGCACTCACAGAACTCGTCTTTATATTCTCTGGCACTATCGCGCGCGCGTGTGTGTGTGTGTGTGTGTGTGTTGGCAGCTCCATAGAGGAGGTTTTTTTAAAAAGGAGAGAATCTGAAGACATACCAGAAGATTCAATCTTGGAACTTCGCTCCAGGTGGACGGAAACTGACAAAGAAAGTTGGCTAACAGCAGTCCTTGAAATAGATGACGGCTGTGAGAGGATCCAAGGGTCTTTCGGTCCAGAATGCCTTTCTCCTCTTGACACAGCGTCAAGACAAGATTCCATTCAGAAGTTTCAGAAACAGGAGTTAAAACATAGCGGACTTTAACCTATCATGCCTTAAGCCCTCACCTTTAGATAATAGCATATAATAAATCAGTAAGAAAACGGCATTGTAAGTGGGGGTGTAGCTCAGTGGTAGAGCGTATGCTTAACATTCATGAGGCTCTGGGTTCGATCCCCAGCACTTCCACAAGTACATTTCCTTATATCTATCGTTGAACATTTCGTTTCAGTCTTTGAATACTTAGTTCCAGTCTTTTCTTTTTTCTTTGTGCATACACTAGCTTGTGTTTTTCCTACTCACAGCGAAGGTAAGCCATTTGGTACTCATTCATTTGTACTATGGGTCCTAACACTCCTTCAGCCTCCCAACCTGACTGCTTCAGCACAGCTTTATAGTTATTTACTGAAATAGAGAAGCTGCTTATTCAAGATCCCCTGAGAGTGAAGCAACAGGCATGCCGGTCATAGAAGACTCGTTCTCCTAGACCATCCTGGCTAACATGGTGAAACCCCATCTCTACTAAAAATACAAAAAAAAAAAAAAATTAGCCGGGCGTGGTGGCGGGCACCTGTAGTCCCAGCTACTCCAGAGGCTGAGACAGGAGAATTGCATAAACCCGGGAGGCTGAGCTTGCAGTGAGCCGAGATCGCGCCACTGCACTCCAGCCTGGGCGACTGAGCAAGACTCCATCACAAAAAAAAAAAAAAAAAAAAAAAAGACTCGTTCTCCTTTGCTGCCGTTTCTCATTACTATTAAGAAATCGGGGGGGAATAAAAAACAGAAAGAGAAGAAAAAAAAATCGCCCTTGGAAAACATCCATTAGATTTCTCTCCTCCCCCCCCCACCCCCACTCCACCCATATCTGACAGACTACAGACCTTTCCTCATTCTCCCCTACATTTCCACCACTCATAGAATCTTGGTTGGGCGGCAAAAGTGGGTCCAATCATTAGTCATGGGAGCGCTGTGATCTCAGCTTTCTCTAAAGAAGGAATGTTTAGAATTTTTTCCGAACGAAAGACGCTTCTGGCGAAACTCCGAGACTTTCAAAATACACAGTTGAGAAAATTATTTTCAGAGATGGAAAAAGCCGCTGGTCGCTCTCAAAGCGGTGTCAGTTTTGGACAAAAAGGGTTATGTTTTCCTGTGGAACAGAAGCTTGTAGTTCACCTCCCTTGGGAGGGAAAGACCTGGTTTCCTACAGCCA